>NC_000003.12:130069210-130220725 GCF_000001405.40 Homo sapiens
AAACTTTGGGAGGCTGAGGTGGGCAGATCATGAGGTCAGGAGATCGAGACCATACTGGCTAACACGGTGAAACCCCATCTCTACTAAAAATACAAAAAATTAGCCGGGCGTGGTGGCGGACACTGGGAGGCTGCTGCAGGAGAATGGCGTGAACCTGGAAGGTGGAGTTGCAGTGAGCTGAGATCACACTATTGCACTCCAGCCTGGGCGAAAGAGCAAGACTCCATCTCAAAAAAAAAAGAGAGAAACATAGCTGTAAGAAGTGATGTTCAGGGAGAGATTTTTAAATAATTATGATTGAGTTAAAGTTGAAAGAGGCTTGTGTGTATATGTATGTGTATAGATAAACACGTATGCAGATGACCCTTAGATCATAAGTATTCGATTTCTATTTTTTTTTCCCCCGAGACGGAGTCTCCCTTTGTCACCCAGGCTGGAGTACTGTGGCGCAATTTCGGTTGACTGCAACCTCCACCTTCCTGGTTCAAGCAGTTCTCCTGCCTCAGCCTCCGGAGTAGCTGGGATTACAGGTGCCCGCGCCATGCCCGGCTAATTTTTGTTTTTGGCCAGGCTGGTCTGGAACCCCTGACCTCAAATGATCCACCCACCTCAGCCTCCCAAAGTGCTGGGATTACAAGTGTGAGCCACTGCGCCAGGCTCATATGTATTAGATTTCTTATTGTGGGTTTTGGTCCGACAAGTTTGAAGGGGGATATTGTCGAGAGATTGCTCAAAATGATGAACCGCGGGCTCCAAGCTAATTATAAGAAAGGAAATGAGCATAGAAGAGGCGAGGGGCCCAAGGGATCAGAGATCCTGATGAGGACCAGCAAGGTCAGAGTGAGGGAATCACACAGCAGGCTGGAAAGGCAGGAGGCTGTGCCCACGATTTGTTTGAGGAATGATTTCAAGGTGGATTTGCAGGTTATGGAAACGTCCAGGAGTGGCCATGGAAAGAGGTAGAAGAGGTTGGTGCAGAAGGTTGCTGGAAACAAGGATGCCAGGACTGAGAGTGAAGATGCCCTGTGGACCAGGCATCTCCCAGGATGAAGGTAGGAAGTGGGGTGGAGCAGGAGCCAGCTGCCAATGTTGTCCTTAAACAAAAGGCAGTTGACAGATGAGCTGCTCCCAATCTCATGCCCTTTTGGGCATGCTCCTTTCCCGGTAGGCAAGCTCATGCATTCCAGTGTGCTGGGCACAGTCAGGCCACTGAACTTCCCACACCTTGGTTTCTTGGCTGGTTGAAGAGAGATCCTTTTTAAAGAACAACTACTAATGCAGCTGTTTATTAATGATTCCCTCCGGGTCAAATTAGCCATCATGTTGGATCAGTCAAAACTACTTTATTTCTTAATAATTTCAGCCAGAACTTGTACAGTCTAACTCTATTTGTGGGCAAGTATTTGCTATCCTGGAAGACGGCAGTTGTGCACACTCTGTTAAGAAATCAGTCCTGGAATCCAGTAGAGCCTGGAGATGTTCTGTTGATCCTTGTTAAACTGGTGAGGAGAGGAAATGGGAGGGTGTAGATTCTTTTCTTTTTTTCCTATCACCCAGGCTGGAGTGCAATGGCACGATCTCGGCTCACCGCAACTTCTGCCTCCCAGGTTCAAGCAATTCTCCTGCCTCGGCCGCCCGAGTGGCTGGGACTACAGGCGCGTGCCAGCATGCCTGGCCATTTTTTTTTATTTTTAGCGGAGACAGGGTTTCACCATATTGGCCAGGCTGGTCTCGAACTCCTGACCTCAGGTGATCCTTCTGCCTCAGCTTCCCAAAGTGCTGGGATTACAGGCGTGAGCCACATGACCAGCTGGATGTAGACTCTTTTTTATCAGCTTCACATCACTCAGGGATCTTGGTACAGCTCATGTGTAACTCCAAGATACTCTTCCCTGTTGAATCCTCCCACTGTGTATCAGCAGAAACTCTTACAGCTACTGCCATGGCTAAAACCTTCCTCAAAGGAGTATCCTGAAAGGCTTGGGTAGAGCAAATCTTAGAAAAGCTTAGACCAAAGTTCTTAGGTTTCCATTTTTTGAATACAGATGAGGAGTTCACGACATGAACCCCTAAGAATGGAGGGAGCTCTCCTCTGTCTTCCGAAAGACACAGGGAAATCCTTCTTGGGATTGTCATCCTCATCACATTTACAATGAAAATCCATTAATATTCAAATAATCCAGTGACTATAGAAAGACCAGTGTGGGAGGAAAATAAATCTTGGGGCCCCATACTTACTAAGCCAAAGGGAACAGTCAAGCTGGGAACTGAGTCATGCAAACCTGCGTCCCATTTTGTTCCTAACTAAGATGGCTACAAAGATAAAAAGCTACATACATCGCTCACCTTTTGCCCACAAGGAGATTCCTTGCAGGCCCCAAGATCTTTATTGAAAACAGTTCTGTTGAATTTCACCCAGGCAATATCAACTGATAGCTTATCCACAGATGCAGGACGGGACAGGACAGAACTCAAAGTCATCCTTCTGCTTGCCTGAGAGCAATCAGAAATGTATATCTGATTTCTGATTGCTTCCTCTGCCCTATTGTTTACATTGTCTTATGTAATATTGCAGATTCCCTTAGCCAGACGAAGTGACAGCATGAATGACTATTTCCTCTACTCACTCTCATATGAAACTTGTATATTCCCCCAATATCCATCCTTTCCCCTTTAAATATTGAAGCCCTTAAAATTATCTTTGGAGAAAGGCATTGACCTGTCTCCCTGGTGGGTGTCCTTAACTTTGGCAAATAAACCCCTTAAAATGATTACAACTTGCCGCGGTCATTTTCATTGATTTATACCAGAATGAGGTAAATAACTGATTTTCAAAGAATCGTGATATGAGTCCCAAAGTGTTCTACGGGAGTGTGATATTGTGAAATATATATTTGATCTTTCACATGTTTCCTTCCATACAACTCCTAAAACCCTTAGAATCTCCAAAGTGATGTGTTTTGGTATGCTAATAAGTTGACTGATGGCTGGCAGCCCCTAGCTAGCTTCAGAATGGGGGCTAGTCCCTGGAAAGACCAAGGCAAGATTAGAGAGTTGGGACTTTGAGCCTAACCCCAACTTCTAGGGAGAGGAGAGGAACTGAAGGTTATATTGATCACTAATGGCCAGTGATTTAATCAATTGTGCCTAGGTAATGATGCTTCTATAAAAATCCAAAAGAATTGGGTTTGGAGAGCTTCTGTATAGCAGAACATGTACACGTTTCTGGAGGGCAGGGCACCCAAGGTGGGCATAGAAGCTCCACACTCCTTCCCCATCCCTTTCCCTGTGTGTCTCTTCATCTGTATCCTTTGTAATAGCCTTTATAATGAACTGATAAACATAAGTAATCTTCCCTAAAGTTTTTCTATGAACCACTCCATATTGATGGAACCCAAGGAGGGGGTTATGGGAAGCTCAACTTGAAGCTGGTTGTTCAAAAGTTCTGGAGGCCCAGATTGTGACTGCTGGGAGGAAGGGCAATAGTCTTGGGGACCGAGCCCTCAATCTGTGGGATATGATGCTATCTCCAGGTAGATGGTGTCAGAATTGAATTGGAGTATAGCCAGCTGGTATTTGCTGCAGAATTGATTGTTTGCTTGTTGGTGGGGAGGAATCCCCAAACATTTGGTCACAAAAATATTCTGTGTTGATTGTTGTTGAGTGAAAGAATAGAGAAAGTATTTTGAGTTTGTGTGTGTGTGTGTGTGTGTGTGTTTACACAACTGGTGTCAGAAGTGGGATTTTCTGGCCGTGGCCGTGGCTCATAGAAACATGTGCTTTGGGAAGAGAAAGAATGAGAGGGGCCGGGCACAGTGGCTCATGCCTGTAATCCCAGAACTTTGGGAGGCCGAGGCGGGCAGATCACGAGGTCAACAGATCAAGACCATCCTGGTTAACACAGTGAAACCCCGTCTCTACTAAAAATACAAAAAATTAGCTGGGCGTAGTGGCGTGCGCCTGTAGTCCCAGCTACCTGGGAGGCTGAGGTAGGAGAATGATGTGAACCTGAGAGGCGGAGCGTGCAGTGAGCCGAGATTTTGCCACTGCACTCCAGCCTGGGTGACAGAGCCAGACTCTGTCTCAAAAAAAAAAGAATGAGAGGATGGAGGATAAGGGACCTTTGATTCCTGGATGGTCACATGGTCACCCATGGTATGAAGTCACAGCTGTGCTGCACTCAGTTATTAAAGGTGAAAGTTACCACTGGAATTTGGAGATAGATCCAACTCTTGGGAAGTTGGTTCACTGGATGTGCAAGGAAATGCAAACTAATAACAAAGAAGTGAAATATTCACTCCTTTGCTTATTGTTATCTGTAATAGCTAAAATAAAAATAAAGGAGAGCGCTAGGTCCAGCCTCAATGCTACACCAACCTTAGATGTCAGTGAGTCTGAGCTTTGGCCACTAGCTTTGGAGCCATTCTCTAAGGGCAAAATTATGCGGAAACAACAGAAAATGCCTCTGAGACCTGTGGTTACTAAGAAGGTAGTGAATTTCGGGGAAGGGCAAAATTAAGTAACTACTGAAACGAAGGGGTAGAGTGTGAAGGAACTGTTTTATTTTGTGGTTCAGTATCTTCAACTCCCTAAGGGACCTTTACTAAAATGGACTGTGAGAGTAACTAATTTAGGGGCAGTATCTTTGGTTTTACATGCTGCAGAGGGGAGGAGCATGTTTGGGTTGATGCAGGATCCACAGCTCACTATGGAACAACCTCAGATGGCTATATACGATCTGGACATACAGCAGGCTATTCCTGAGGCAACAGCCAGCCTAGTAGACTGGATAAAAGCCTCCATAATGTGTGTTTACCCTGAGAAGGGGGACTGTCCAACTCCATCTATAAATGCCAAGTGGAGCGCTCCAGATGAAGCAGCTGACATGCTTTGTATGCAAGCCACATGGGACTGGCTTTATGGTGACTGGGATATCCACCCACTACATTGCCTGTTACCCAGGTCATGGGAAATGCTGTGATTAAGGGGCCCCATTTGCATGGACACCTCATGCAATCTCACTGCTGCAAAATCAAGCTATGTTTGGAGAAGACTTATTGAATTTGCTATCTCAGCTTCCCCTCATGGGTCTTATAGATGCTAATAAAAGACATTAGGGCAATTAATAAAATAATGTGGAAAAGCAGAGGACAGAGTCAAAGGACTCATCCCATGAAGGTGGATGTATTTAAGCAGTTATTAAGAGATAAAGAAATTAAAGAAAACATTAATAAATCTAAAACTAAGAGGAAAAAGGGAAGTGCCATGGGACTCATCGCAGGAGGCTGAAAACCCTTAGTGGTGCTTAAGAAATGAGACGAATAGAATGGAAATTGATGGGGTGAAAACAAAGGTCTTAATACAACACTATTGAAGGTTGGGTGGACCAAAAAGAGCCCTTGCTGGCTGCCAACATTAAGGAGTTCCAAATGGGTTTGCTGTATTCACCTTAGTTTGGAGAAATTTTAAAAGTCATTAAGCAGAGATTACAATGAGAAAGCTGATCAGCAATCACCTGGGCCAATGTTGAGGCAGGTTCATCCAGATAAAGATTGACAAAAGGGCCAAGGCTCCTTGGCTCAACCCTCTGCTGGCGACTCAAAGCCTTTTGCACTGGCTGGTGGAGAAGAGAAGCTCCTGGATCTAGAACTTAAAAATGTAAGGGTTGGTAGAATTATGAAAGTTGGTGCATTTGAACATGCTTCATATGAAATGTTTACATCTCTTTTACCTGATTGTATTAGGGAATGGACTTTGTATCTGACTTGTCCTTCAAGCAATATTAATGGGACGTGAGATGGGAGCCAGTAAGATTGCCCCCAGCCCGCAAAGTGCAGAGTGGAAGATGCTGAGCTGGGAGGGACATATTCTTTCGATAACCCCTCTATGGAGCCTCTAAAGCAGCATATGGCAAAAGCCTGTCACCGTCTCCCAGCGACAACTCCTGGCCCATAAAATGATCTTGACACCTGAAATACCCATGCTGTCTCAGGTGATGTCATAGAAACACTCTAATGAGGCTGGGCGCAGTGGCTCACACCTGTAATCCCAGCACTTTGGGAGGCCGAGGTGGGTGGATCACCTGAGATCAAGAGTTCGAGACCAGCCTGACCAACATGGTGAAATTCCATCTCTACTAAAAATACAAAAAATTAGCCAGGCGTGGTGGTGGATGCCTGTAATCCCAGCTACCTGGGAGGTTGAGGGAGGAGAATAGCTTGAACCTGGGAGGCAGAGGTTGCAGTGAGCCAAGATCACACCATTGCACTCCAGCCTGGGCGACAAGAGCAAGACTCCATTTCAGAAAAAAAAAAAAAAAAAAGAAACATAATAAAACGGAAATGGTTTATACAGCATCATGCTCTGTGGGGAATGCAGGGAGGAGATATTCCCAAGGAGGGAGCCTCTTTTCTCCTACAACTGACTCTGGAACAGTGAGGAGCTGCTGGATTCTCTCAACAGTTCGACAATGCCCTATATAACCAGCTCTCAACTCACTCACCCCCAGCTGTTTGGTCTATGGATGACAATTTTGAGGTGAACAAACAACATCCTGTTTGGAGGGCTGCTACTCTGGCTAAAGACTGTAAAAATCAGTCAGCTCAGTGAGTTGAATTGCATGCTGTTTTCCTAGCTGCTGATCTATACTAGAATGATGTCAATAACTGATTTTCAAAGAATCATGGTACATGTTCCAAAGTGTTCTACAGGAGTGTGATATTGTGAAATATATATTTGATCAGTTGAACAGTGGTAGCAGCCCCGTGTTTGGGTTTTTACTGACTCCTGGGCAGTGACCAGTGTCTTGGCTGTACACTCAGGCAAGAGGGCAATAGCTACCTGGCTTATTAACGGGACATCCATGTGGGGCAGAGCCCTGTGGAGATGTGAAAGATGTCTTGAAGTAGAACAGGTTCATGCCCATCAGAAAAACTCCCTTCCAGGCTCAGGAGATGGCTGGAGTCACCAAGTGAGTTTTTTTTGTGTGCTCCTGTGAGGTGGTCGCCTGGGTCCATGAAATGAGTGAACAAGGCGGTTCTGCAGCAGTGCAGAGATGGGCTGAATCTAGCCATGACCCTCGGGCTCAAAATGCCAATAACTATTCTGTCGCTGGTTGCGCTGGCTCAAGCCTGTAGTTCCAGCACTTTGGGAGGCTGAGGTGGGTGGATCACCTGAGGTTGGGAGTTGGAGACCAGCCTGACCAACATGGAGAAACCCCATCTCTACTAAAAATACAAAATTACTGAGGCGTGGTGGTGCATGCCTATAATCTCAGCTGAGGCAGGAGAATTGCTTGTACCCAGGAGGTGGAGGTTGCGGTGAGCCGAAATGACGCCACTGGACTCCGGCCTGGGCAACAAGAGTGGAACAACGTCTCAAAAAAATAAAAATAAAAAACAAAAAAAACTGTTTTGTCTCCCAGCAAGAGAAAAGAGACTGCCCATGGCTGTGAGGCACATTCCCTTGTGGGAAAGCTCTTAACATAACTGGCAAATGAGTTGGATGCTGGCAGCCCTGGGGTTCTACATCTAGGTCTTGACAGGAATAGACACTGTCTCTGGACTGGGCTTTGTTTGCATGGTAGAAGATGCAAACACTCAGAGTGCCACTAAAAAAAAAAAAAAAAAAAGGCCAGGCACGGTGGCTCATACCTGTAATCTCAATACTTTGGGAGGCTGAGGTGGGCAGATCACCTGAGGTCAGGAGTTCAATACCAGCCTGGCAAACATGGTGACACCTCATCACTACAAAAATACAAAAAAAATTAGCCAATCCCAGCTACTCGGGAGGCTGAGGTGGAAGAATCACCTGAACCCAGGAGGCGGAGGTTGCAGTGAGCCGAGATCGTGCCTTTGCACTCCAGCCTGGGAGACAGAGGGAGACTCTGTCTCAAAAAAAAAAAAAGGAAAAGAAAAAAAAAAAAAGAAAAGGAAAAAAAAAAACCAGAACAGGAGATACTGCATGAATCTTGATGGCCAACGTCATTGCTTCAGAAAAAGGAGCACTCTGTACAGCCCATAATGTCCAACAATGGGCAGAGAGGCATCCTCTTCAGAGTCATAATTTGGCACAGAAGTGGAAGAGGCAATTCAAACACTGATTGTCTAAAACGGGGGAGGTGAAAGCAGGAGGGCTGGTGATAGAGTTTGGAACTGTATCTCCACCCAATTGTGTGTTGAACTGTAATCCCCAGTGTTGGAGCTGGGGCCTGGTGGGAGGCAATTGGATCATGAGGGCAGGTTTCCCATGAATGGTTTAGCACTATTCTCTTTGGTATTGTACTCAGGATAGTGAGTGGGTTCTCATGAGATCTGGTCGTTAAAAAGTGTGTGGGGCCGGGCGTGGTGGCTCACGCCTGTAATCCCAGCACTTTGAAAGGCTGAGGTGGGTGGATCACCTGAGGTCAGGAGTTCAAGACCAGCCTGGCCAACATGGCAAAACCCCGTCTCTCGTAAAAATACAAAAAGTAGCCAGCGTGGCGGCGGGCGCCTGTAATCCCAGCTACCTGGGAGGCTGAGGCAGGAGAATCACTTGAGCTCAGGAGGCAGAGGATGCAGTGAGCTGAGATCACACCATTGCATTCCAGCTTTGATGACAGAGCAAGACTCTGTCTCAAAAAAAAAAAAGTGCACGGCACCTCCCCCAGTCATTATCTCTGGCTCCTGCTCCTGCCATGTAAGAGGACTGCTCCTCATTCATCTTCTGCCATGATTGGAAGCTTCCTGAGACCTCACCAGAAGCAGAAGTTGCTATGCCTCCCATACAGTCTGCAGAAGAGTGAGCCAATTCAACCTCTTTCCTTATAAATTACCCAATCCCATTGCTTCTCAGCCTTTTGGCTAAGATCAAGTATAAATTACCTAGTCTCAGATATTTCTTTATAGCAATGCAAGAATGAACTAATATAGCTGGCTTGCACGCTTTGTGAGTGTGCACTCATACTTAGCATGAGTGGTCTAAAGGAGTGGCCTTCCAGATTTTTCTCCATTTTTTTGGTTGATCTGGGGAAGGGGGGGGTGGGGAGGATGCTGACATGACCATGCAATTTTTTTTTTTTCCCGAGATGGAGTCTTGCTCTGTCACCCTGGCTGGAGTGCAGTGGCGCAATCTCAGCTCACTGCAACTTCTGCCTCCCGGGTTCAAGCAATTCTCCTATCTCAGCCTCCAGAGTAGCTGGGATTACAGGCACATGCCATCAGTCCCAGCTAATTTTTGTATTTTTAGTAGAGGTGGGGTTTCACCATGTTGGCCAGGTTGGTCTCAAACTCCTGACCTCATGATCCACCCGCCTCGGCCTCCCAAAGTGCTGGGATTACAGGTGTGAACCACCGCACCCAGCCCAATGAACAGTTCTTGAATGAATGACACAATGAAGAACACTACCAGAACAAGAGCAGATCAAAGGTGAATAAGTGAGTAGTAGCTTCTATTAATCCTCATCAGCAACCAACATAACCCAGGGCTTATAGATTTCTCTATGTAATATGCTACACACACGTCTATGGAAAGAGAGAGAGAGAGAAGCACATCAGTCAACCAATTTTAAAAAGTTACTCTAAATGTGTTGGTCTTGTATTACAATCTTTAGATTACACTATTATTTTATTTCAAACAGGACTGGTAGAAACTTCTTCATGCCTTTTCAACCAAAGAACTTCAATACGGTGAAACCCCTAAAAATACAAAAAATTAGCCAGGTGTGGTGGCGGGCGCCGGTAGTCCCAGCTACTTGGGAGGCTGAGGCAGAAGAATGGCATGAACCCGGGAGGCGCAGCTTGCAGTGAGCCGAAATTGCGCCACTGCACTCCGGCCTGGGCGACAGAGCGAGACTCCGTCTCAAAAAAAAAAAAAAAAAAAAAAAAAAAAATTCACACTTTGTTCTTTGATAAAGTACCAACCTTAGAAAGTTACGCAGCGAACACCATCTGACTTAGATTAACTGAAAAGTAACTGGATCAATCCCCCTTTACCCTAAGCATCTAAAGGGAACAATTTTCTTTTCTTTTCTTAGGGATGCAGCGTCCCTCAAACTGCAGAGCCACTTGGCGATGAAGCCAGGATCGCAGTGCATTTGATAACTTAATGCAAATTTTTACTAGCACTTAAAACTCAGATATGAAATCTATACTTGATCTTTTCTGCTTGGAATTGGTCAGATTAGTGGTTCTGCCCCGGCATACAACAAAAGGCTCTCAGAAACACTCATGGTCGCTAACCAATCAGAAGGACCAACAGAGCTCGACAAACAGACAGGAGGGTGGAAGGGCACCGCCTTCCACCCCACCCGCTTAGACAGCCTTTCAACTCTGCCCACTTTGAGGATCTGTAGGATGATCCAGGTAAGCATGATACCTATCTTAACTTCAAGGTAGAAATTAAGGCTTGAGTGCACTTATTTGGTGCCTTATTCATTTAATTGGAAGATTATATGGTAATTTCACTGCTCATAATAATTAAACCTTTTTTTTCACTTTGGGGATGATAATGACATTTGGAGAGTAGCACTATAAACCTCAAAAATCTATTTTGAAGATGACTGGACTTAAGAGCGGGACAGGTTTGCTGTACACTTGAGCGAACATGCTTTGTTCCCCAAAGCAGCAAAAAAGCCAGAGCCTGGAAGTTTCTAAAACTTGAAGCAGATGCAAGTGGCAGATCCAAAAAGCTGTGCCTAGAGAACAGATCGGTTGACCGGCTGTATCTATTCCATCCTCCCCAGTGACTCAGTGGAGGATTTCGGACAGGTCTCTCAGTTTCCCCTTCTTTGGTTTCACCTTAGAGTGAGGGGAAGTCACAGCATTTCTTCCTTTATATTTCACAGAAACACAGGAGGCTGGATTGACAGTCAGCAAATGTAAAGAAATACAGACGCCCACAGGGCAATTATGCTGGCCTGGCCTCAAGCTTCATATTCATCCTTAACTGATTCCCTGGCACACTCGCCAGTGACCTGGCTCCACTTCACCGAATGGACCCAAGGGCCCACACTTTCTTAATTCTCCTGTAGACCCTTTATTCACTCCCCTTCATCCTTCCTTTGCTGACGGTGGTCGCTTCTGACTGCCCCAATCTTTTTTTTTTTTTTTTTTTTTTTTTGAGATGTAGTCTCGCTCTGTTGCCCAGGCTGGAGTGCTGTGGTGAGATCTCAGCTCACTGAAACCTCCGCCTCCCCAGTTCAAGCGATTCTCCTGCCATGGCCTCCCGAGTAGCTGGGATTACAGGCATGTGCCACCACGCCTGGCTAATTTTTTTTGTATTTTTAGTAGAGACGGAGTTTCACCATGTTGGCCAGGCTGGTCTCTAACTCCCGACCTCAGATGATCCACCTGCCTGGCCTCCCAAAGTGCTGGGATTAGAGGCATGAGCTACCGAGCCTGGCCTCAATCTTATGCTTACTATTCTTCATCTGTTGTCTCATTTTATAGCCAGAGCTCAGGTGACAGCTGAGGGATTACATTCATCTGTCTCTGAGCCTCTGAGACTTCTATTTTCTTCACCACCCTCCAGGAATCCTTTTTTCTAGCTCTTGGGTGCTGGCCATCTCCTGGAAGGTTAAGTTGAAAATCTGACCTCCAGTTCATTGGTGCCTCTACAATCAATCCGCATTACCTGCAGATTCTGTAGCTGCAAATTCACCTACTTGATAATGTTTACTTTTAGCCCCTAAATCAATCCCAGCGGGGCTTTTCTGGATGTGCGCCGGGTGGTGAAGAGGTTGAATGGCTGATAAGCACGGTCCCAGCAGAGATCCATCGAGGAACCTCTGCCTTTTGGTTTCCGCTCTTATACCATAAATGAATGCCCTTTTCTTGGTCTTTTTGGGGTTTTTGTTTGAGACAGTCTCACTCTGTCACCCAAGCTGGAGTGCAGTGGTGTGATTGCAACCTCTGCCTCTCAGATTACAGTGATTCTCCTGCCCCAGCCTCCCGAGTAGCTGGGACTACAGGCATGTGCCACCACACACAGCTAATTTTTGTTTTTTAGTAGAGATGGGGTTTCGCCATATTGGCCAGGCTGGTCTCAAACTCCTGACCTCAGATGATCCACCTGCCCTGGCCTCTCAAAGTGCTGGGACTACAGGTGTGAGCCACAATGCCCAGTCTGGGTTCTCTTAAATGTAATGGAAAGAGGAGAATTGGAATGGCCGAGAGAGAGAACTAGGACCCTGCATGAATGAATCAAGTTGACTTGGAGAGAAACTGTATTTATAGGAAAGTCAAAGCTCTGAGTTTGGAGGCCAAGCAGGGTGGGGGTGAGCAAAGCTGTGGGAAGGAAAGCAGGGCTTCAAAAAACAGCTGCTCCTTCTTGATAGATGCAGGGAGGAAACAGGAAAGACCGGGGGCCATGTGGTGTTATTTGTAGCACTTGAATAGCTTGGCTCTTAGAGTCCCAAGGCCTCCAGCTAGTGATCCGCAGATGCCATTAGAGGGCAAAAGTGCTCGCTGCTCTCTCATTTGTCAACAAGAAGAGCTGGTATGGCCCTGGCCTTAAGGATAAGTTAGTCAATTGCTTATTGTACGTCACGAGATGAATGCTGGGAGAGAGGAAACACAGGGTGTGTAGGGAGAGGGCAAAAACGGCTACATCTGACCCACCCCAGAGATGAGGAAGGCTTCCAGGTGGGAGGTGACACCAGGAGGTAACCAGGTGGAAATCACCCTCAAGTAGCAGAGACAGGTGTGCAAAGGCTCAGAGGGAGCTTCTCCAGGATCAGCAGAGCTCGATTGTAGGGTGTGAGGCTGTCACAGAGGCTGGAGAAATAAGCAGTTCCTTGCTAAGAAGTCTGAATTTTAACCTGAAGGGACATGGGAGCTACTGCAGGCTGGTAAGCAGGGGGGTGGTGCTGGTTGGATTGCAATGCAGAGAAACCCTGGGTTGGCCTGCGTCTGATAGACTGGAGAGACCCTTGAAGAAATCAGGGTACAGGCAGTCCTCCGGAGTAGAAATGAGGAAGGTGCCAACTGAGACCACAGCAGTGGGGAAGAGTGTGAGAGGGATGGAAATTGAGATGAATTCATGGGTGTTTGGCCTGTGTAGTCACACAGGGTCCCGAGCTGAGAGGGACCCCGAGCTTGGCTTAATGCTCTGCTGTCACTGTCTTAAAATTCCTCCTCATTTTATGTGTGAATCTATGTTTTGTTTTGTTTTGAGAAAGAGTCTCTGTCGCCCAGGCTGGAGTGCACTGGCACCATCTCGGCTTACTGCGACCTCCACCTCCCAGACTCAAGTGATTCTCCTGCCTCAGCCTCCCAAGTAGCTGGGACTACAGCCACCTGCCACCACGCCTGGCTAATTTTTGTATTTTTAGTAGAGAGTGGGTTTCACCATATTGGCCAGGCTGGTCTTGAACTCCTGATCTCAAGTGATCTGCCCACCTCAGCCTCCCAAAGTGCTGAGATTACAGGCATGAGCCCCTGCAGCCAGTCTGAATCTATGTTTTATCAGTGAAATCCAATGGGGCAATAGAACACGTGCGTGGGCAGACGAGACACCAACAATATGAGTTACCCCCGTCCCTTGCCACCGCACTCCCCATGGCGTGTCTGCTGTGCCCTGAGCATAGAATCTTGGGGGGTCCGCAGTGCATGGGAGCCCAGCAAGGCTCCAAGTGAGCATAAGGGAAGCCTACTATGTCCACAACGGAGTCTGCAAGAGATGCTGACAGCACCAAGAGGTTGCACTTTCTCTTATTATAGAATCAGAATTGAAAACCAAGTCAATGGCATTCTAAGAAACAGGAACAAACAAGGAACCCTCTCCCAGCCTTTTCTACTCATCTGATTCCCTGTAGTAACCAACCACTTCCACTGGAACTGATGACATAGGAGAGGCAAAGATAGCAGAGTCATAGTTGTTTTTCCTTTCAATTCTTCCTTATGCATCAGTAAGCCAAAGGTAGAGAGTGGTGGTAGATTGTATAGGTGTGAAAAAGTGAAATAAAAACAGCTGAATGGCCAGGTGTGGTGCTTCATGTCTGTAATCCCAGCATTTTGGGGGGCCGAGGTGGGTGGATCACAAGGTCAGGAGTTCGAGACCAGCCTGGCCAACATGGCGAAACCCCGTCTCTATTAAAAATACAAAAATTAGGCCGGTGTGGTGGCAGGCTCCTGTAATCCCAGCTACTCAGGAGGCTAAGGCAGGAGAATGGTCTGAACCCGGGAGGCAGAGGTTGCAGTGAGCTGAGATCTCACCCTGCACTCCAGCCTGGGCAAGAGAGCAAGACTCTGTCTCGGGAAAAAAACAAAAACAAACAAACAAACAAAAACAGATGAATTAGTTTCCTGCAACGTCTCACTGTTTCTGTGAGGCAAAAAAATGCCACATACAAAGTACAAATTACGTCATTTCTGTGATTCCACATTTGAGTCCAGTGTTCCTATTTAAATCTGGCATTGCACAATGTAAAGAGGAACAGTATAATCCATGCTAGTAATTTAAAATGTTAACTTTTTTTTTACTTGGAAGGACATTAAATAACAAATGAAAGCATCATGATAAATTGAGACACAGACACCACAGAAGAAAGAAAATGCTTTATATGTTAATACTTCAGCAGTGCTTTTTCCTCTGATTTTTGAATAAGGGGGCCCATGTTTTCATCTTGCACTGGGCCTTGCAAATTCTGCAGCTGCTCCTGACTGTAAAGAGGGGATTTAGCCATAAAATCAGCAAGGGTTGGTCGTGGGGATGTGGGGTACAGGAAGATAGAGGATTTAGGCATGGCTGCAGGGTTTTAAGCTGGTGGTACTGTTGGCTGGGAAATCTAGGAAATCCAGCATTGAAGGACCGGCTTTGTGAATCTGTTGTGGATGGGCTGAGCCTGCAGTGGCCATGGGGCATCCTGCCTGGGAGGAGGGCGAGCAGCAATTCATCAGCACAGATGGTGACTGAGGCTCAGGAGGGGCTACTGAGGTAGGAACTGTGGGCAGGGATGCTGGGGAAGCAGACATTGAGGAGATGGGACAACAGCTGGGTATGGTGGCTCACACCTGTAATCCCAGCTACTCAGGCTGAGACAGTAGGATAGCTCGAGGCCAGGAGTTCAAGATCAGTCTGCACAACATAGCGAGACCCCATTTCCCCCCCTCAAAAAAAATTAATAAAAAGTAAAAATGCAAAGAAGAGATGGGACAGCAAAGAAGGCCTCATAAAGGAGATGGAGAGGAAGGAGACAGGAGGAAAGGGGAGAGGGAAGGTGACAGCCAGAAGCAGGCATGAGAGGTTCCCTAGAGTGGGGTTTTATTATCTCAAGTGACCATGAGCAAATTACTGAACCTCTCTGTGCTGCAGACATCATGGATAAAAAGAAGCTAAAATGAAGACAATAACAGCAGCACTTATGGGCGGGGCGGTAGTGGTGAAGATTAAATGAAGAGTTTATACGGGAAGGGCTCAGAATGCTGCTGTATTAAATGCCTCAGTCTGCTATAAAAAGATACCACAAGCTGGATGGCTTAGAACTACAGAAATGCATCGTCTTACACCTGCAGGCCAGAGGGCTGAGATGAAGGGATTGTCAGGGCCAGGCTCCCTCTGAGGATGCTAGGGGAAGGATCTCCCTCCCAGCTTCTGCCAACTCCTTATCTTGTGGAGCAGAAGTCCAGTCTTCACGTGGTCTTCTCCCTGTGTGCATCTGTGTCCAAAATTTCCCCTTTCCATATATCTATGTCTATATCTACACACAAAAATACACATATATGTAGTGTGTGTGTGTATATATATAGAGATATATATAATTTTATTTATTTATTTATTTATTTATTTTGAGACAGAATCCTGCTCTGTCACCCTGGCTGGAGTGCGGTGGTGCAATCTTGGCTCACTGTCACTTCCGCCTCCCGGGTTCAAGCAATTGTCCTACCTCAGCCTCCCGAGTAGCTGGGATTACAGGTGCCCACCACTGTGCCCAACTAATTTTTTTGTATTTTTAGTAGAGACAGGTTTCACCATGTTGGCCAGGCTGGTCTTGATCTCCTGACCTCAAGTGATCCACTCGCCTCGGCCTCCCAAACTGCCAAGATTACAGACGTGAGCCACCGCACCTGGCCTCTTTTATTATTTTTTAATAGAGATGGGGGTCTTGCTATGTTGGCCAGGTTGGTCTTGAACCTTGGCCTCAAGTGATCCTCCTGCCTCAGCCTCCCAAAGTGCTAGGATTACAGGCATGAGTCACTGTGCCTGGCGTATTTTATTTATAATCTTTTTAATAGAGATAGGAGTCTCCCTATGTCTGCCAGGTTGGTCTTGAAACTTGGCCTCAAGTGATCCTCTTGCCTCAGCCTCCCAAAGTGCTAGGGTTACAGGCATGAGCCACTGCACCTGGCCAATTTCCCCTTTCCATAAGGACACGCATTATACTGGATAAAGCCCACTCTATCAACCTGATTTTAACTTGACTACCTTTGTAATGACTATCTCCAAATATGTCACATTTTGAGGTACTGGGGGTCAGGACTCCAAGAAGTCTTTTGTGGGAGAGGGGATGCAATTCAACCCACAACAGTGCCCTGCTCTGTGAAATGTTCACCTTTATGAATAAGACGACCTCCACGAGTTGTTTTCTTCAAAGGTATGAGGCAGAGACCAGTGAGGGGCAACCTGAGGGTGGGGAACCTAAATTTGCTGTGGCCACAATCTCCGCAAAAACGCAATGTTTCTCCCGCAGCACTTAGCAGCCCAGGTGAAGGTAAATACAAGAAGGAGAGGGAACAAAGATGAGGGAGTGACACATCCTGATAATGTGCCAAAGACAACCACAGGCAGACATACTGATGGCAGTGAGGCAGACGAGGAACACTGCTCATTGCTCTGCCTGCCTCACTTTTGTTCACGGGCCACCAGGAGGCCTGAGGTCCCAGGTGGACAGAAATCACCACGATCCCCTCTTGGCCCCAACCAACATACGCACAGGAGGCAAACCAACTTTTGATCATTTATTAAAACAAATAAGAGGTTAATCTGTGGGTAAAAAGGCCTTGTTTGTCAGCAGCTCAGGGGATGCCTTCCAGCTGACAGGCGCTAGCGCACTTTGAAGTAGGAAGCATCAAATGGGTTCTGGAGATAAGCAATAGATAAACAACGGGAGTTACCACAAGTGTCAAGCCAGGCATCACCTTCACAGAAATTATTCCTGGAGCGAATGTGGAAGTCATTAATCCCAAGAGAAAAGACAGAGGTGGGCATGGTGGCTCATGCCTGTCATCTCAACACTTTGGGAGGCCAAGGCGGGAGGATCCCTTGAAGCCAAGAGTCCAAGATCAGCCTGGGCAACAAAGTGAGACCTCGTCTCTACAACAACTAAACTAAATAAAATAAATTAGCCAGGTGCAGTGGTGCACACCTGTAGTCCCAGCTACTCAGGAGGCTAAGGCAGGAGGATTGCTTGAGCCCAGGAGGTCAAGGCTGCAGTGACCTATGATCACATCACTGCACTCCTGCCTGGTCCACAGAGCAAGGCCCTGTCTCTAAAAGTAAGAGAAGAGAAGACAGATGAAGCAAAGTGGGCCAAAACGTAGAAAAAGGAAATTGCTCTGTTTTAGATGAAGGATTGTGAAACAAAATTTTCAAAAGCAGCAATGAAAGACCTGTCTACCACAGTGTAGCCCTCAGCAAAACCACAAGTGGGCAGACTCTGACTCTCCCACACCCCTCTGGCTAACCCCAAACCCCTTCTAGATAGAATGTTCTCCTTCCTCTTCATCCTAATGCCAGGAGCAACTTTGGTGGTGCGTTCCCCACACCTGCCCCCTTTGCCAAAGCTCCAGGTTCCAGAACCTTCCTTTCTTTCTTCTCTTCTGCTTTAAGGCTTGCTTACCCTGAGTTCAAGATCCTTACAGCCTTGTTAGATAAATGGCTACATAAGATGACCGGTTAACCAGAGCGAGTATGGCTGATGATGGCTTCTGCAATATAATGAAATGAACCTGCTCCCACCTTCACTGAACGATCAACATTCACTTTGGTGTAATGGGGTAAACCATCAACATGTCCCTCCTGATGCAATGCACAGAGAACATGACACCATTGCTGTGATAGTCCCACCCCAAATGCATAAGAATATCACCGCCAAGAAACATCAGCCAAATCCAAAGTAAGGGACATTCTATCAAATAACCGTCTTGCGTTCTTCAAGAATGCCAATACCATGAAAGATAAAGAAAAACTGAGGATCTGTTCCAGGCTAAAAGGTACCTACAGAGACACAACAACTGAAAATAATGCATGATCTGGGATGATCGTTTGCTCCAATGTACATCATTGGGTTAACTGGCGAAATCTGAATGAGGTCCATTAGAAAACCGTATTGTAGCAGGGTTAGTTTCCTGATTTTGATCATTGCCTTGGTTATATAAGAGAAAGTCCTTGTTATTAAGGAATACACAGGAATATTTAGGGGTAAAGGATAACTCTTCTGCCACTTGGAAAATAATAAAGCAAATGGGGTAAAATGGTAGCACTGGGGAATCTCAGCGAAGGGTATAAAGGATGTCTTTGTACTATTTTTGCAACACTTCCATGTCTGGAAAAATAATAATAAATATTACATATTTAATAATTAAATGAATGAAAAAGTGCAATGTTTCTGCAGGTGTCGACCTTGGCAATGCAATAGGATCATCTCAGAAGCTCTGCATGAACATCAGTGCCCAGGCCCCAACCCAGAGATTCATAGTCAGTTAGCTGGGGGTGAAACTCCAGACATCGGCATGTGTAAAACACACCCCAAGGTCATTCTAGTGTGAATCCAGAATAATAAGCAGCCAGCTTAGCCTTTAGTGTCATTGGGTTGACAGGAAAGTTCTAGGCTGGGGACTTTCTGAGCCCCCATGTCTGCTTGTTTTGAGATCTGATCTTGGGGGCCACATGGTGACTCAAAACAGGAGCACAGTTGTGGGTCCAGTCTTGGTCCTTCCACTAATAAGATGGGAGACGTTGCGTCAGATCCCTTGCCTGTGCCAAGCCTGGGTTTTCTTAGCTGTGGAATGAGGTTAACCAGGAAGTGCCTCAGTGGCCAATATGCATTCAAGGAAGAAGATGCCCAGCTCAGTAAGTGATATGGTGTGGCTGTGTCCCCACCCAAATCTCTAATTGTAGTTCCCATAATCACCACATGCTGTGGGAGGGACCTAGTGGGAGGTAACTAAATCACGGGGTGGGTCTTTCCCCTGCTGTTCCCATGACATTGAATAAGTCTCACAAGATCTAATTCTTTTTTTCTTTTTCTGAGACCGAGTCTCACTCTGTTGCCCAGGCTGGAGTGCAGTGGCTTGATCTCAGCTCACTGCAACCTCTGCCTCCTGGATTTAAGCAATTTTCGTGCCTCAGCCTCCCAAGAATCTGGGACAACAGGCATGAGCCATTACGCCTGGCTAATTTTTGTATTTTTATTAGAGATGGGGTTTCAACATTTTGGCCAGGCTGGTCTCAAACTCCCGATCTCAGGTGATCCACGCACCTTGGCTTCCCAAAGTGCTGTGATTAGAGATGTGAGTCACTGTTCCCTGCCTGATCTAATGGTTTTATAAAGGGGAGCTCCCCTGCACAACTCTCTTGCCTGCTGCCATGTAAGATGTGACTTTGCTCCTCCTCCACCTTCTGCCATAATCATGAGGCCTCCCCAGTCATGTGGCTCTGTGAGTCCATTAAACCTCTTTTTCTTTATAAATTACCCAGTCTCAGGTATGTCTTTATTAGCAGAGTGAGAATGGACTAATACAGTAACCCTTACATCCCCAGACCCCAAAATGGAGTTGTCACAGGATGGCAGTCTGAAATCCTTGTGATGTCCAGCTGGCAGAAGGGAATTTGGATGAGTAGGGCTAGCCAACTTCTGGTATTGCTGGTGGGTCCTGTCATTGTGTGGGTGACTCCTTGCACCCCTGGCCCTTCATAGGACGAAATTCTGGGAGGGTTCTTGGGAAAGGGGCTAGAGAAGGCAAGAGGACACTAATCTTCTTCCAGGCAGTAGGAGGGCAAGCTGGAGAGGCCAAGCTCCCAAGTAAACTGAGGCACCTCCACTGGTCCCTTTGTGAGGCACGCTTGACCTGGGTTTTATGGAAAGAAAATGCCCTCACCAAAGGGTGCTAAACAAGGCCCCAGGCTCCGCACCTCATCCCAGGTGCCCCCCTCTGCCCTGCCCTAGACTCACCTAAAGCTGTACTGCCCAGAGTCATGGCCTCAGGCCACATGTGGCTACTGGGCACTTGAGATGTGGCCATCTTAATTGAGATATGCTCTTAGTGTAAAATATACACTAGATTTCCAAGCCTTCATAATCAAAAAAAGAAAAAAAAAAGAACATAAAATATCCATTAAGAATTTTTAAGTATTCATTAATGTTGAAATAATAATATTTTGAATATATTGGTTAAAGTTTACTAGGAGAATTCATTTCACCCCTTTTACTTTTTCTAATGTGGTGACTAAATTATTTAATATTACACATGTGGATTACATTATATTTCTATTGGACAGCTCTGTTCTAAAGTCTGCACGTTGTCCTTTTGTGGCTTATTTCCTTGATAATTTTATTAAAATTAAATTGAAGGGCCAGGTGCAGTGACTCACACCTGTAATCTCAGCATTTTGGGAGGCCGAGGCAGGTGGATCACCTGAGGTCAGGAGTTCGATACCAGCCCAGCCAACATGGTGAAACCCTGTCTCTACTTAAAAATACAAAAATTAGCCAGGCTTACGGGTGCGTGACTATAATCCCAGCTACGCGGGAGGCTGAGGTAGGAGAATCGCTTGATTCCTGGAGGCAGAAGTAGCAGTGAGCTGAGATCACGCCACTGCACTCCAGCCTGGGGGACAAAAGTGAAAAATCCATCTCTAAATAAATAAATAGAAAAATAAAACTGAGGGCCTGGCACGGTGGCTCATGCCTGTAATCTCAGCATTTTGGGCGGCCGAGGCAGGAGGATTACCTGAGGTCAGCAGTTCGAGACCAGCCTGGCCAACATGGTGAAATCCCGTCCCTACTAAAAATACAAAAATTAGCTGGGCTTTGTGGTGGGTGCCTGAAATCCCAGCTACTCCGGAGGCTGAGGCAGGAGAATCACTTGAACCCGGGAGGCAAGGTCGCAGTGAGCTGAGATTGCACCAAGGCGCTCCAGCCTGGGCGACAGAGGGAGACCCTGTCTCAATAAATAAAGAAAGAAATAAAAATAAATTGAGGAAGGATTTAGCATGCAAAATAGAATCAGCTTTGGACCCTGAATACCCTGCAGTGAGAATTCCCCTGTGGTTCTCAGGCTTCTGTAATTCCAGCAAATACACTCTTCCTTCAGGTTCACTAAAATGCAGATATTGTGAGATAATGCTCATTTCTCACAGCTTGCTTAAATAATAATGATCATCATAGTAATTTACAACTTAATAGTCAACACTGCCTTTTTAACCCAGTCTGTGAGACTGAATCGTAAACGTGACATTCTTTGAAGTAAAGCTCTCGATTAATATACCAGACTGCATAAACGCTAATAACTTACCTTTCCACAGAAAGATAATATGTGGGTATTCTCTTTGAAGACAAATGGTGGAGAGTAGACTCTCATCAAAGAGCCTCTGGCAGTAATGAGTTGCATTCCAGAAGGTTCCAGAAGGTTCTGTGGAAGGCTGCAGTTTGGGATTGGTTCTCAGGTGTCTAACTGCTTTCTAAGGATGAAGACCCCTGGTTCGTGCTTTAGCGACACCCACAGGAGCAACAGACTAAGACATTCCTCCACACAATAACAGACCCAGGCAGTGCAGAGCCATGTGTGTCTTATCTGTCCTGTTGTCCACAGTCTGGTTTTATCTTAGACCTAGCCTGGTGCAATCCATGTTGTGTATTGGCACTCCACTTAAGTTTCCAGTTTGTAAAAAGCCCCTTTCATTCGGTGATTCCTCAGGTCTTTAGGGGAAATTTCTGGAAACCAGGAAGAAGGAAATAAAGGTTGTTTTGCTGAGGATGGGTGACGTTGGGCATGGAACCCAAATGAGTGGTTTGAGCAGAAAGTAGCCTCCATGCTGGACTAATGCAATAGCCCTGCCATGATTTCATTGCAGGGCTGTGACCGTCTACGACAAGCCGGCATCTTTCTTTAAAGAGGCACCTCTGGACCTGCAGCACCGGCTCTTCATGAAGCTGGGCAGCACGCACTCTCCGTTCAGGGCCCGGTAGGCCTCCCACCCTCAGCTGCCTTCTCTCCTGCTCGCCACTGCCCTGGCCTCTCCCCTTCTCACTGCAGACCTGGGAACCCACTCATCCAGGGATTGGCAAACTAAGGCTACAGGCCAGTCTCCTGCTTTTGTAAATCAAGTTTCACTGGGACACAACACACTCATTAACTTCTGAGTTGTCTACAGCCGCCTTTGAGCTACAATAGCAGAATCGCGTTTTGCAACAGAGAACCTGTGGCCCACAAAGCCTGAAGTATTTACTCTCTGACCCTTTAAGGAATGTTAAAGGGTCTTACTCTCCTGCCAATGGGTTCCCAGGCCTGTGGCAGGATCTGTGGACCTGTGTGTCCCCTGGGGTGTCTCATGGGGCTAAGGAAGGGAACTTTGTGCAGGTCCACATACCCTGAGGTGTGCCCCTGGGTAAGCTGGGGTGGTGTGGGAGGGCGTCCTAGCACCCTCATCTTGGGTCCAGGGGATGACAAGACAGTAAGTCCTGTGGAGAAAAGGAATTAGTCAGTCTTGTTTGCTGTTGTAACCTTAGCACCCAGCAACAATATTAGAGAAAGCAAGCCCAGGCCTCGATTGGCAGGGGTGGCCTGGTGCTGCTGATGCAGCCGGGCACCCCAACCGTTGGGAGCCTGCAGGCCTCACCATGGCAGGAGATGCCCGTTCTGGGTCCTGGGCCTGCTCTGTGGCCTCTCACAGGGTTTTTTTCTGCTCCTTCAGCTCAGAACCTGAGGACCCAGACACAGAGCGGTCGGCCTTCACGGAGCGGGATTCTGGGAGCGGGCTGGTGACGCGTCTCCACGAGCGGCCAGCCCTGCTGGTCAGCAGCACAAGCTGGACAGGTCTGCATGACCACTGGGGCACTTGGGGTTGGTGTGAAGGGCACCTGGCCAACCTGTATTCTCCTCACCCCTGCCAGTCCTGCATGCCCCAACCCCACCACGGTCTCAGTGAGAAGGGGAGGGCGTGTGAGCTGGAAGAGTGGTGTCTAGAAACAGGCCCCTGACATTCAATTCTTCTCATAGAGGACGAAGACTTCTCTATCTTGCTGGCAGCTTTAGAAAGTAGGTGTGTGGCTGCGGTGAGGAGCTCTGGGCTCGTCGGGGCCACTGAGCTGTGAGCTGCTTGCCTGGTCTGCAGCATGTTCCTGTCCTGGGCTACTGGGTGGGGCAGCCTGGGGACAGTAGGGGTGGTGGAGGTGGGCCGCCCTGAATCCCCAGTTGGGTCATTGAGTGACCAGGCCCTCAGGCTGAAATGCCCCCTCCAGGAGAGTATCTCACAGAGGCTGGTGGCCTCCCTGCCAGAGCAGTGCACTTTCTCCACCTGACCAGGGGACTCTGGCTACTGTTTATTTAAAAATTTTTTTCTGAATGGGCATGGTGGCTCACACCTGTAATCCTAGAACTCTGGGAGGCCGAGGCAGGCAGATCACCTGAGGTCAGGAGTTTGAGACCAACCTGGCCAACATGGCGAAACCTGTCTCTACTAAAAATACAAAAATTAGCTAGGTATGGTGGTGGGCGCCTGTAATCCCAGCTACTTGGGAGGCTGATGCACGAGAATTACTTGAACCTGGGAGGCAGAGGTTGCAGTGAGCTGAGATCATGCCATTGCATTCCAGCCTGGGTGACAGAGCGAGAGTCTGTCAGAAAAAAAAAAAAAAAAAAAAAAAAATTAAATCAGAAATTCCATGTAGAATTGTTTCTTTTTTTAAACACAGAGTTTGAACAACTGACTCTTGACGGACAGAACCTTCCTTCTCTCGTCTGTGTGATAACAGGTACTGCCTGGGACCCTGGGTGTCTGTTTGGTTGGGGGATGGTGGAGGGGGAGGGGCACACAGCCTTTACCCTGTGCTTCCCACGATCTTGTCTCCTTAATCCTCACTGCAGCTCTCTGCCATAGGGTCTTACACTGCTTGACATGCGGGAAACTGAGGCTCAGAGGGTTTCACAGCAGGGCAGGGAGCCCAGATTTGAATCTGTAGATACCAAGCTTTCTACTTTTTCAGTAGTTTCCAAGCATCTTTTTTTTGTTGTTATGTCATTGGTGTCTTTTTTTTTTTTTTGAGACAAAGACTCTGTCGCCCAGGCTGGGATGCAGTGGTGCGATCTCAGCTCACTGCAACCTCTGCCTCTCACATTCAAGCAATTCTCATGCCTCAGCCTCCAGAGTAGCTGGGACTAAAAGTGCCCACCACACCCAGCTTATTTTTGTATTTTTAGTAGAAACAGGGCTTCACCATGTTGGCCAGGCTGGTCTTGAACTCCTGACCTCAGGTGATCCACCCGCCTTGGCCTCCCAATATGCTGAAATTATAGATATGAACCACTGTGCCCGGCCATGTCATTGGTGCCTTAACCAAGCTTCTTTTAATTTTTCAAACAGAAGAGCCCCTGTCCCAGTTACTGCTGCTGAGCCCTTTCAAGATGATTCAGTGAGGAGGGAGAAAAGCGGAAGCGGTGTGGGAAGAGGCGGGGTCTGGGCCAGCTGCTGGTCCTGCTCTCCTCCCTCCTCTGGCCTCTAGGCTCCCAGGACTGGTTTGGAACCCGCGCCATGTGCTCTGGAGGCTGTGGCAGGGCAGGTGCGGCTTGGAACCCGCGCCATGTGCTCTGGGGGCTGTGGCAGGGCAGGGGCGGCTTGGAACCTGCGCCCTGTGGTTTGGGGGCTGTGCCAGGGCAGAGGGAGTCCTCTTGTCCCCTGTGCACAACACAGACAGAAGGCTGGGCCCACCCAGTGGGTGGTCGCGTGCCAGGCCAGTGCTTACCCCGCCTTGTTTGCAGCCCGAGGCCAGCTGGTTGCAGGTGCAGGGCTATGCATCAGGGGTCAGGGTGCACATACCCCTGCAGGTCTTGGGGCTCCTGAGTTGCTTCTGGAAAGGCCCAGATAGGGCCTGACTGCAGCTGCCGAGGGGTGGAGCTTCTGGGAAAAGGATCCCTCCTAGGGGGGAGTGTCTTGGGCCTGGGGCTATGTGGCAGGGACAGAGACGGGTTCATGGCAGTGTCTGCTCTTCTCTGTGAAGGCAAAGGGCCTCTGAGGGAGTATTACAGCCGCCTCATCCACCAGAAGCATTTCCAGCACATCCAGGTCTGCATCCCCTGGCTGGAGGGCCGAGGACTACCCCCGCTTCTAGGTGAGAGGCCAGCAGGAGGCTCAGGGAGGAGGCGGGGCCTTATGCAGGGGGAACAGGGGTGGGCGGGGTGTACCTTTTCTGAAAAGGTGGCTCTGGAGGCCACTTGGGGACAGGACCTGGGCTCTAGCTGAACTCCCGGGAGAAGGCTACTTCCTGGTGTGCCAGCCCCTCCCTGCCAGGTGGCCCCAGAGGCCCTTTACCAAGGGGTTTGAGGAAGCCACGTCCTTTCAGCCTGCCACGCCCTCCATTCAGTCCTCTTCCTTCCTGCAAGAGGGCTGGGCCTGGGGTTGGGGCCACTGTTGCCCAGGTGTGGGAGGGCAGTGGCTTTGGGAGGTACAGGGACGATGAGTCAGACAGCGTCGCCTCACCAGTGAGATGGTTCTCCTTTGCCTCCGTCTCTTTCCCCATTGATTTCTCCAAGTGGGGAGTCGTGGCTTGTTCCTGATGCGTCTCTAGAGCCACATCTTCCAGCTTCGAGTGAGCAGAGCTGTTGGAGGCTGAGGGCCTTTTCCTGGCAGGATTCTCCAGCTAGTCTTTGTTTTAGACAGTCTTGCTCCGTTGCCTAGGTTGGAGTGCATGATCTCAGTTCATGCAACCTCTGCCTCCTGGGTTCAAGCAATTCTCCCACCTCAGCCTCCCGAGTAGATTACAGGATTACAGGAGCTCTCCACAACACCTTGCTTATTTTTGTATTTTTAGTAGAGACAGGGTTTCACCATGTTGGCCAGGCTGGTCTTGAACTCCTGACCTCAAGTGATCCTCTCGCCTTGGCCTCCCTAAGTGCTGGGATTCCAGGTGTGACCCATCATGCCTGGCCCCAGCTAATCTTTAGAAATGTTTAGCTATTTGGCTTTATTTTCACACTGACAGCTGGTTTGTGGTGGGTGTGCTGTGGTTTATTATTATTATTATTATTATTATTATTATTATTATTATTTTGAGACGGAGTTTCGCTCCTGTAGCACAGGCTGGAGTGCAATGGTGCGATCTTGGCTCACTGCAACCTCTTCTTTCCCAGGTTCAAGTGATTCTCCTGCCTCAGCCTCCTGAGTAGCGGGGATTACAGGCACCTGCCATGACGCTTCGCTAATTTTACATTTTTTTTTTTAGTAGAGATGGGGTTTCACCATGTTGACCAGGCTGGTCTTGAACTCCTGACCTCAGGTGATCCGCCCGCCTTGGCCTCCCAAAATGCTGGGATTACAGGTGGGAGGTGAACCTGGGAGGTGGAGGTTGCAATGAGCTGAGATTGTGCCACTGCACTCCAGCCTGGGTGACAGAGTGAGACTCTGTCTCAAAACAAAACAACAAAAAAATCAAATTGTGGTTACGTAGAAAAAGTGTCAACTTACATTTTCAGATGTCCCAGCCAGGCCGTGTGGCTGCTTGGCCAGCTTAAGCCACTTGTGGTTGGGGATGTCGGGGGCCTTATCCAATTTTCACTCCCCTCGGGGGGTGTTGCCTCACTGTGCTGGGAGGATTTGTGTTCCCGGGGCAGAGACCAGCGCTCTGGCCACACCCCTCTTGCCTAGCAGGGTCGGTGGACCTGGATGTCTGTCTGGACACGTCCTCCAGTGGCCTGGACCTGCCCATGAAGGTGGTGGACATGTTCAGGTGCTGTTTGCCTGCGTGTGCCGTGAACTTCAAGTGGTAGGAGCAGAACCCGAATTTTTTCTGGGGATAGCTTCACAGATCCACCGCTGAGGGGGAAGCAGTGCAGAGTGAGCTGCCCACAGTGAGGCCCTGCCCCTCGGTCAGTCCAGCACACACTGGAGGCCACGAGGAGGAGCCCTGCGGTTACTGTGGCTGGGCTGAGCCTCACTGAAGTAGTTGCTTCCATTTAGAGCTCATGTTACATTTAGGTTGGTACAAAAGTAATCACGGTTTTTGCCATTAAAAATGGCAATTACTTTTGCACCAACCCAGTATGAAAAAAAAAAAGCACCTTAAATAACAGAACTTCACTCGGGGCTTTTGCTCCTAGAGTAGAATTGGCGGGAATTGCCTGCAGGCTTACATGGTTTTCTTTGTTTCTTTCTCTCCCACCATGTCCCTTTTGGCCAAGCTCACGTGGTGGGTTTGAATCAGTTAAATGAGTGTCATGCTGTGGCCTCACTCCACCCAGCATAGACGGGTGTTTGGAAGGGTGGAGTTAGAGGAGATTCTAGAAGCAGTAGCCCCAGCAAAAGTTGCGCCCTTGGCCCCTGCTCAGGAGCCGGCCCCTGGATGGGATTCAGGGATGTGAGCCTCTCGTGTGAGCTGAGCTGAGGGAATGTCGGGATCAAATCTGGTGTCCTAGAAAAGTCATCTTTTATGTGCTGAACCAGTCCCCAGGGGGTTGCCTTTACTTGTTCCTTGGCCATGGAATTAAGAAAAACATGCAAAAATAATTCTTCAGTCCTTGAAGAGCATCCAGCACAGAAGGTACAAACCTTCCTTAAGGCTCTCTCCTCAAATCGGTTTGACCATTTTGATGTGCACCCCCCCCAGGCTTTTATACCCTTCAGATGCCAAATCTAAGAACCACCTCCCAGAAGCCACACACCCTGTTCCAACCCCCAGCCTGGCTTGAGCGTGGGGTGGGTGGGAGCCCAGCTGGGCACCCCAGGGGTCTAGTGTCTTCTCCAGGAAACTCTCGGGCTCCTTTTGTTCTCTCTGCAGTTTACATGAGCTGGTGAAACATGAAGAAAACCGCCTGGTCTTTGAGGACTCAGAGGAACTGGCAGCTCAGCTGCAGGTAGCCATGTCTGCCACCACGCCAGGGTGGACAGGGTTCTGGAGACTGGCACCGAGCCATGCTCCCTGATCCCTGTTTCACACAGCCAGGGTGGGACCATGCGGGGTCTGGCGGAAAAGCTAGGGAGGGAGCAGAAGTCACAGAGGCTGGCCTACTCTGCTGTCCCATTTCGGTACAGTAGGCTCGGTAAAGTTAGGACACAACCCCACCTGCCCTCTAGATTTATGGAGCTGAGACTCCACAAATGATGCTGGAGCCGGGTGGGCCAGGCTGCAGTTTAGGAAGTGATCAGGATCAGGTAGTGCGTGGGCTAAGGGAACTTCTGGGACCAGCCTTGAAAGATGGGTGGAATTCTGCAAAGGTTACTTGTTTCTTATTGCAAAAAGTAATACATCATTCTTGTCAACAGAATGATTGGGAGGATTTTCAGTAAAGGTCCAGGTCAGAAGTCATTTAGACTGGGTCCCCCAGTCTCTGTCAGAACCATGGTACTCTGTTGTGGTGTGAAAGTAGCCACAGATCATCTGTAGATTAAGGGGTGTGGCTTTGTTCCAATAAAGCTTTATTTACAAACACAGGCTGTGGGCTGGATTTGGCCTGCAGGCTGTAGTTTGTGATCCTTGATTCAGACAGTTTAGCAAGGCTGAAAAGAACACCCCCTTGTTACCCACAGATGGGTGGGACTGTGTTGGCCAGAGGCCGAGAGGAGGGTGCTCACAGGGGAACGTACATCATGTAGAGGCCGGAAGGTGCTCCAGGGCACCAAGTGTGGGAAAGTGGGACATACGGGGAAGTTTCCAGAAAGCATGTCAAGATGGAGGCGGAGCGCTGCTGGGGTGTGAAGGGTCTCAAGTCCAAGTGAGGGAGCTAGGGACTTGGGAGGGGTTGTTGTTGGGTCGGGGAGCTGGGGTCATCCAGGTGGTGACCTGGGATGGGGTGGGGACAGGCAATGAGGTAAGCTCTGCTCTTCAGTATTTTGCAGATGCTTTTCTCAAACTTTCCTGATCCTGAAGGCAAGCTAAACCAGTTCCGGAAGAACCTGCGGGAGTCGCAGCAGCTCTGATGGGATGAGAGCTGGGTGCAGACTGTGCTCCCTTTGGTTATGGACACATAACTCCTGGGCCAGAGGCTAAAACCCCAGGGCCCCTGCTGTCCTTCCCGCAGCTTCTTCTTGGAGTCTCAGGGCAAACCCTTTCAAGCAGCGCCTCCCAGTGGCCAGAAGCTGAAATGACGGCAGTGGTGCCACCTGGTGAATGACCCGGGAAGCTGTGGTTGGCCCTGATTTCTTCTTTGGAGTCTCAGAAATGCTTCCTGTCTTCTTCTGTTCTTCACGCCCCATGTCCCTGCTAGCGTATTACTGTTCTGTGACTTCCCTGTGACCTCTGCAGTACTCCTCATCCTGCATTTGGTCTCCAGGTGTCACCTTTCTGCCATGTTCCTAACACTTTGATTCCTGTCTTGAGAAAAGCACCTGCTGCACCACAAGCCCAGGGATGTGGCAGCTGCAGCGGGCTTGGCTTTGTGAGGAACCGAGTGTGTCCAGGGATGTGGCAGCTGCCGCGGGCTTGGCTTTGTGAGGAACCGAATGTGTCCAGGGATGTGGCAGCTGCAGCGAGCTTGGCTTTGTGAGGAACCGAGTGTGTCCAGGGATGTGGCAGCTGCAGCGGGCTTGGCTTTGTGAGGAACCGAGTGTGTCCACGTTGGGGGAACGTCATACTTGATACACACGTTTTTATTTGCACAAAGAAAATGCTATTTTTGGAGCCAGAATTTTCATGTCTGATTTATGGTGATTTTCTTAAGAACCAGAACTGCTGGCAGAAAGGGGGCACCCACATGCTTAGATAGCCGATGTCTTATTAGAGGGCAGATTGTGGTTCCTGATTTGGAATTTAACATTCTCCAAACATTCCAGTCCAATGAAAGTTTTATCCGCTTTCCCATATAAAAATTCTTCCCACGAGAGTGATTTGATTCTAACAATCCCGTTGGAGTCGTGTATGAGTCCTACAGTGTGAGGTTCAGCATTGCCATCTCCAAGTGCTCTCCATAGGGAAACAGTTTCTGGTCATGATGAGCTTCCGCTTCCCATCTGATCCCAGCCCAGCCTGGAAACAGAGCACGTGTTTGAGGATGGCGGTGTTTGGGGACAGGACATGAGCGTATTGTGTGGGGCTGCTAGGACAGGCCTGGCGGGGTGGGGAGTGTCTAAGTCAGTTTACTTGGTTCACAGGTTCCCAGGCCCACCCAAGTACCTAGAATTGGCCTCCAGGAAGGGACCAGAAATCTGGTTTTACATAGAAATGGCTAGCAGCAGGCACCATGCAGCTGTCCACTCTCTGCCCGAGTCTGCCCCAGCACGTGGCACAGCAGGACAGAAGCAGAGATCTGAACCCACATCTACCTGGCTGTTCCATCAACCCACTCTTCACAAAGCTTAGAAAGTGGCCGGGCACAGTGTCTCATGCCTGTAATCCCAACACTTTGGGAGGCCAACGCCGGTGGATCACTTGAGGTCAGGTGTTCGAGACCAGCCTGGCCAACATGGTGAAACCCCATCTCTACAAAAATACAAAAATTAGCCAGGCACGATGGTGGGTGCCTGTAATCCCAGCTACTTGGGAGGCTGAGGCGGGAGAATTGCTTGAACCCAGGATGCGGAGGTTGCAGTGAGCCGAGATTGTGCCACTGCACTCCAGCCTGAGTGATAGAGTGAGACTCCATCTCAAAACACACACACACACACACACACACACACACACACACACACACACACACACACGCTTAGAAGGGGCTGGTGTTCTCATAAGCACAGATGTCTGAAGAGCCATTAGCCAGAATGATTCTTTTTTTTTTTTTTTTTTTTGAGATACGATCTTGTTCTGTCACCCAGGCTGGAGTGCAGTGGCACAGTCATTGCTCACCACAGCCTCGACTCCTGGGCTCTAGCAATCCTCCGACTTCCTGAGTAGCTGGGATGACAGGTGCATGCCACCATGCCAGTATTTTTTTTATTTTGTAGAGATGGGGTCCTGAACGCATGGCCTTAAGTGATGCTCCTGCCTCAGCCTCTTTTATTATTATTTTTTAGATGGAGTTTTACTCTGTTCCCCAGGCTGGAGTGCAGTGGCGCCATCTCAGTTCACTGCAATGTCTCCCAGATTCAAGTGATTCTCCTACCTCAGCCTCCCGAGTAGCTGGGATTATAGGCGTGCACCACCACGCCTGGCTAATTTTTGTGTTTTCAGTAGAGATGGGGTTTCACCGTGTTGGCCAGGCTGGTCTTGAACTTTTGACCTCAGGTGATCTGCTCACCTCAGCCTCCCAAAGCCTCAGCCTCTTACAGTGTTGGGATTACAGGCATGAGACACTGTGACCCGGGATGATTTTCAATCACGGTTTTTTGTTACGAGTGGAAAATGCATATTTATAAAAATGAAGTAGTACAGACATGAACGTGTAGCAATCTCTATAATCCTGCCATCCAAGGATGGCACCTGTTAACGTGCATATCAGGGATGTCCAATCTTTTGGCCTACCTGCGCTACATTGGAAGAAGAAGAATCGCCTTGGGCCACACATAAAATACACTAAAGCTAGCAATAGCTGATGAGCTAAAAGAAAAAAAAATCACAAAAAAACCTCATATTGTTTTAAGAAAGTTTACAGATTTGTGTTGGGCCACAGGTTGGACAAACCTGCTATATACATGTTCTAGGTTTTCCCCTATAGGTATACCTATGTGAAAATGATTATTTTGATACATTTTTTTTTGAGATGAAGTCTTGCTATGTTGCTCAAGGTGGCCACAAAGTCCTGGGCTTAAGCCATCCTCCCGCCTCAGCCTCCTGAGTAGTTGGAATATAGGTACTCATAACCACGTGTGGGTGATTATTATTAGTTTTTAAACAAAAATGGGGCTGGGCGCAGTAGCTCACGCCCGTATTCCTAACACTTTGGGAGGCTGAGGCAGCAGATCACTTGAGGTCAGGAGTTCAAGATCAGCCTGGCCAACATGGAGAAACCTCGAATCTACAAAAAATACAAAAATTAGCCAGGCGTGGTAGCACGCACCTGTAGTCCCAGCTACTCAGGAGGCTGAGATGGGAGGATAGCTTGAACCTGGGAGGTGGGAGGATGCAGTGGGCCGAGATGGCACCACTGCACTCCAGCCTGGGCAATACAAAGCCAGACTCTGTCTCAAAAAAAAAAAAAAAAAAAAAAAAAAAGGTTGGTGGGGGCTTATACTATATGTACTGCTTGGCACTGTTTTTTTTTCACTTAAAAGATATTGCAGGTTTTTTTTCACGTAAGTATCTGAAGAAAGACTTCCTTTTTTTTTTTTTTTTTTGCTTTTTTGCTTTTTTGAGACAGGGTCTTGCTTTGTTGCCCACGCTGGAGTGCAGTGGTGAGATCAGGGCTCACTGCAGCCTCCACCTCGTGGGCTCAAGCCATCCTCCCACCTCAGCTTCCCGAGTAGCTGGGACTACAGGCATGTCCAACCACATCTGGCTAGTTTCTGTATGTTTTGTGAAGATGGGGTCCCACTATGTGGCCCAGGTTGGTCTTGAACACCTGGGGTCAAGTAGTCCTCCTGCCTTAGCCTCCTAAAGTGCTGAGATGACAGGCCTGAGCCCCACGCCTGGCCAGCCTCCTGTGCGAGGTTGTGCGGGACTCTGTCATGGAACCCAGTATGTCTTCGCGTGCTGGCTTGTTTGTTGGCTCTGTAGTTAACGGGCTGCCCCACGTGGACAGGCACTGGGTCGTCCATGTCTCTGTGTGCAGGCAGAGGCTGCTGCGGGTGCATCTTTGCACATGGCTGCCAGGAGGGGCTGTGCTCAGGGGGAGCTGGGGCAGAGTCTGGTGGCAATGGGGGGCTTGGGTGTAGTGTGGAGGCACTAGAGCCAGGTGGCCGGGCTGCAGTCTGCGGGAGCTCGGGGGTCTCTTGGCCTCTGTGTGTCCTAGTGTTTTTGTCGGTGAGATGGGACAATGACAGAACACCCTCACAGGTGCTGGGGGCTGACCAATGTCAGGTCTCAGGACAGTGGCTGGCCCACTACGGGGCCAGTTGCCCTTCTCTATAGTCACCCTGCTCGTCTTCCATCAACTGGGTGCTCAGGACAGTGGCGTGGTGGATCCGCCTGTACAGCCTGTGCTCCAGCATCCTGCAGGCCACAGCTGTGTCCAGCCCTGACCCCGACTGCCCCTCCCACCACCTCCATTTTATAGATGAGGAAACCGAGGCCCAAGGGCTTAGGGAAACCTGCTCTGAGGCACATAGTAGGGCTGCTGGGCTCAGACCCTCCCGCCCTGTGCTGAGCTGCCCTCCTCCTGCCGCAAGCCCCCCACGCCCCAAGCCCACCCTGCTCACCGGCCTCTGCCCGAGTTCCCCGCATGGTGTGGGAGTGTGGGGCATCCTAGCTTTTTGCTGGCACCCAGTTCTTTCACTTCCACTGGAGTCCTGCAGGGACAGCTCGGGGACCATGCAGGCCCGGGTGGGCGTGGGGGCTCACCTAGCTCGGTGGTGAACACCTGGCACGTCTCTGGGTTGCGGACGGTAAAGGCCATGTAGACCTCAGGAGCCCGCTGGTGCTCCCAGCAGGCAGCCAGCCTCCGCAGGACCCCGACCAGGGACACGATGGCTTCTGGGCAATACAGCACGTCTACGGTGAAAGCTTCAGGTTACTGAAAGGGACAAGTGGAAAGTTCCAGTTCATGCTGACCTCAGCAGCAGGGTGAGGCCAGAGAGGCAGCGTTCATATGAGACTATTAGATGCCATTTGACCATTTGGGCCATTAGATGGAAGGGCAATTACTTGGGTGAAAAAGGAGAACCCTTAGTAGAGAAAGCTGCAAAAGACCGAAGCAAAAGAAAAAAATCTCCAGACTCACTGGTGTTCCTTAAAAAACCAGCTCTGGTTCTGGGCCTATCTAGAGGGCTTTGAATGGCAGAAAGCCTGACCCTACCGTGAACTTCGTGTTTCAGGTGTCTGCCGATTGGTCTGCTGGCTTGCAGGGGTGGGCCTCTGTCCCTGGCCACCGCTGGACCTGTGGGTTTCAGGGCTGGGACCCAGGACCACAGGCAGAGCTCTGTTCCACCAGAGAGGGGACTGAGTGTGCTGGCAGGGGTGAGGGGTTTTTGGTGGCCCAGCCAAACACCACCTTCTCCCAAGGGCCCTGTCCTCATCCCAGAAGTGGTTGTTTTCCTCCTGTGGTCTCTGAAGGACACAGGGCATGGCTCTGGAACAGAGCCGTGTGGTGACGACTGTAACGGGAGTATGCCTGTCTCCAACAAGAGGGCTGTGGCTTGAAGGTCACCTTAAGAGGCACCCCTGTCCTTTGATGTCCCCCTGGAGGCCCGGAGTAACTCTTCTGGAAGCCCCATCATGTCCATGCCCGACAGCATCCACTGTTCCCTTTTCCCAGAGCCAAGAGCTGGGTAGAGCTGCAAGGACACCGCCTGCACAGGATGCCCGGGGCTGGGCATTACCTGCTGTAATGACAACATCTGGCTGGAAGGCAGAGAGCTGATGGACCGTCGCTACATCCCAGTCCAGCTGGGCCACTGTCACCCTGGGGCTATCTAAGTTGGCAGTGATGTCTGCCTCTAATGAGAGGCCATTGAGAAGGACATTCCCTCGGAGCTGCTCGAGGACCCGGCTGTGACAGTCGCTGAAGATGTATGTCCGGGGGTGGCACATCTTGCAGATGGACAGGCCTGTAAGGCCGGCGCCACTGCCAAGCTCTAGGACAGTCCTGGCGGGAGGAAAGGGGACCGTGTCTTCGACTGCACCAGGGTAAGCCTGCCTCGGTGCCCTGCCCTGTGCCCCGAGGTCACCTGTTAGTGAAGGCTGCCAGGTTCTCAATGACCCATTCTGCAAGGTAGATGGCGGCTGCCCTGTGCCCCGAGGTCACCTGTTAGTGAAGGCTGCCAGGTTCTTGATGGCCCATTCTGCAAGGTAGCGGGCAGCGTCCCATGTGACCAGGCCTGTGGTACCGTGGGAGATGATGGCTGTGCTCGGAGAGTGTGACCGAGCCTTCCGAGGGCTGTACCAAGAGAGGGTGAGACAGTAAGTCCAGCAATCAGAAAACAAGTGGCTTAGAAGACAAGTAGCCATCCGCCACATGGCTGAATAAACCATGACAGGACCAATCGCCACTCAGCAATGAGAAGCAGCTAACTGTTGACATACCAACAGCTTGCACGGGCCTCAAGGGTGTCACGCGGCATGAAAGACACTCATCTCAGGCCACACAGGATTCCATTCATCGAACATTCCTGAGACAACGGAATTCTGGCGATGGAGCACAGGTCAGTGGTGGCCAGGGGCCAGGTGTGGCTATGAAGGGGTGGCTGCCTTGTGATGATTCAATATGCTATGTTTTTCCTTTGTGGTTTTCTGTATCTATGCTTTATCTTATTTTTTTTTGAGCTCTGTCACCCAGGCTGGAGTCAGTGGCATGATCTTGGCTCACTGCAACCTCTGCCTCCTGGGTTCAAGCAATTCTCCTGCCTCAGCAGCCCAAGTAGCCGTGACTACAGGTGTGTGCCACCATGTCCGGCTAATTTTTGTACTTTTTTTTGAGACAAAGATTCGCTCTCATTGCCAAGGCCGTGGTGCAATAGCGTGATCTCGGCTCACTACAACCTCCACCTCCTGGGTTCAAGAGATTCTCCTGCCTCAGCCTCCTGAGTAGCTGGGATTACAGGCGCCCACTACCACACCCCGCTAATTTTTGTATTTTTAGTAAAGATGGAGTTTCACCATGTTGGCCAAGCTGGTCTCAAACTCCTGACCTCAGGTGATCCCCCCGCCTCAGCCTCCCAAAATGCTGGGATTACAGGCATGAGCCACCACGCCTGGCCTAATTTTTGTATTTTTAGTAGAGATAGGGTTTCACCATATCGGCCAGGCTGGTCTCGAACTCTTGACCTCAGATCCACCCGCCTCGGCCTCCCAAAGTGCTGGGATTACAGGCGTGAGCCACCATGTCCAGCCCTGTCAAATATTCTTTGAGGACTGGGCACCAGGTCCTTGTGAAGCAGGTAGTGTGTGTCACCTATTGGACAAATACCCAACAACCCCACGAGACATGCTGTTGTTGTTGAAGTGCTTGATTTACAGACAGGGAAACTGAGGCTAAAGAAGGTTAACGGACCTCATGTCTAAGACTGCAGAATGGGTGAGTCAGGATTTGAACCCACACCCACGTTTTCACTTTGTCTGTGCAGGAAGGGTATCTGGGCTGTGAGGGGGAGGAGGGTGCCCTTCTCATACCAGCAAATAGCTCCAGTGGCCCTGGGTGGACTCCTTGGCCATCAGGGTCTCTGCCAGCGCCTCGTACAGCTCGTCCAAAAGCTCCGTGTGGACAGCCTCGTGCTGGGGGCAGACAGAGTGAGAGCTTGTTTGCTTTCGTTCTAATCTGTAAAAATGGTCAGATGATTTTCACCAAGTTTGGAGGGGAGATTTGGGATGGAATGGTGTAATACCAGCCAGCTGGCATATAAAATACTCACTTCGTTGGGTGTGGTGGTGTGTGCCGAATAGTCCCAGCTAATCTAGAGGCTGACACGGGAGGACTGCTTGAGCCCAGGAGTTCGAGGACAGCCTGGGCAAGAGACCTTGTCTCTAAAAAAAATTTCACTTGGTAGGGCAACCTGGATGGGAGGGCCTTCAACAAGAGGTGTTGAGAGGTTAGGGTTAGGTGTAGTCTAGGGAAGGAAACAAGGATTCCGTGAGAGCTGCCACGTGACCATGACAGAGAGCTCTGTGTTTGGATCAAACAGAGAGGAGGAAAACAAAAGGTGCTTTTAAGTGAGCCCAGGCAGAACTGTGAGGGCGGCCCATGCTGCAGGCTGTGGCTGTCAGCAGGCTGCTTCTCCACAGCTGGTCCCATCCTAGGATTCACAGGGCAGCAGCAGGGTACACTGGGTGACTGCTGCCCTCTCCTGGTGGCACAGGGCAGACCTGCTGGTGAACACAGATGCACGCTTTTGGGGAGGACTAGGGAGAAAGCAGGTATTGGAGAAGCAGGGGATTGTTTATTTGCTAAAAGTGTGGCCCTTTCACTCAGCAGGTCTGCTACTGCCTACTAAGGAACGGCCTCTCGACATCCTCATGTCAAACCCTGCATGTTTGGGCCCATCTTTAAAATCCATCCTAGGCCAGGTGTGGTGGCTCATGCCTGTAATCCCAGCACTTTGGGAGGCTGAGGCAGGCGGATCACCTGAGGTCAGGAGTTCGAGACCAGCCTGGCCAACATGGTGAAACTCTATCTCTACTAAAAATACAAAAATTAGCCAGGCATGGTGGCGTGTGCCTGTAGTCCCAGCTTCTTAGGCACGAGAGTTGCTTGAACCCAGGAGGTAGAGGTTTCAGTGAGCCGAGATTGTGCCACGGTAATCCAGCCTGGGCACCACAGTGAGACTGTCTCAAAAAACTAAATAAATAAGTAAAAAATAAAATCCATCCTGTATCAGTCAGGAAAGAGCTCATTCCAGCAGGATCAATGCAGAGAATTCACAGAGGAACTAGTTCCAAAGGTATGGCAAGAGCTAAATCTTCCAACAGGGGCCTGTGGGGCAACCCAGAGACAGACAAGAGCAGGAAACTCCAAACCCTTCAGCGGGCAGGACAGAGGGTGTGGATGAGGGTTCCAGTGCTGTGGGCTGGACCAGCCTGGTAGGAATGAGAATTCATATTCTAGGAGCTGGGGCCCCAGAGAAGCAGCTGCTGTGGAAACCCCATGAGGCAGAGTGAGGGAGAGACGCTGGTCTCCCCTTCTTCCTGCCCTGCACTGTCTCCCATGGGTCACACTCAGCTGCAGCCAGTTGCCTGGGGAGGCCCCTGCCATGCTGGTATTGGCAAAGCAGGCCCAGGGCCTGGGAAGGACGGGGGCTCCAGCACGCAGGTGGCTATGCTGTCCAGCTACTGGGCGGACACTGCCCATTGCTGACATTTTTGATGAGTTCTGAGAGAAAGCACTGGGCACACTTGACTGATGGCGGGTGCTTCACACACACAGGATGCTTCACAGTCTACAGCAAAGGACAGAACGTTGGTTGCTCGAGAGCCCGTCTTAAGTCTCCTATGAGCTTCAAGCCAACACAGCAGAGGGCAAACTCCAGGCTACCCGATCCCTCAGCAAAGATGTAGATGGACACGGCGTTCTGGCCCCACGCATCTGAAGTTTGTCTTAAGATATAAGCCGTTTCCTAAAGATGCTTCCACTGCAGTGGCACAGGATATTGCAGCATTTCTAATGCCCATTCTGAGCAGGAACACAGGGCACGTGGGCCTAAACCACCTCCCTCCCAGGGGAGCCAGTGTGAACCAGGGCTTGCAGTAAGGACAGTCGCCAACTGTCTGGCTCTATGGAAGAGGCGGGAAGGCCCACTCGGCAACTGCTCTCTTGGAGTGTGTGTCCCTGGGGACAGGATGGAGGGGAGGGGACGCTCAGGGTGACACTCCAGCTAAAGCCGAGAGAAGCCAAGTGCAGGATGAGCAAGTTCCAGGCAGTGGGAACAGCTGGTGCAAGCTCTGAGGTGGCCACAGGCTGGCACTTGGAAAGGAGGGCAGATGCACTGGTGCAGCAGGAGTGGGGACGGTGGGAAAACAGGAGCCTGGAGGGAGAGGGAGGAGACAGTCCGCAGTGCCTGCTGGCTGGGAGGGATGCAGATTCTGCCCAAGGGCAGCAAAGTACCCCATGCAATACACAGGCTCTTCATGCTGGTGCTGGTTTTTCATTTTTTCTGACACAGTCTCTCTCTGTTGCCCAGGCTGGAGTGCAGTGGCCCGATCTTGGCTAACCGCAGCCTCCGCCTCCTGGGTTCAAGCGATTCTCCTGCCTCAGCCTCCCAAGTAGCTGGGACTATAGGCGTGCACCACCACGCCCAGCTAATTTTTTAAATTTTTAGTAGAGATGGGTTTTTGCCATGTTGGCTAGGCTGGTCTTGAACTCCTGACCTTAGGTGATCCGTCCACCTCAGCCTCCCAATGTCCTGGGATTACAGGTGTGAACCAGTGCACCCAGCCTTGTGCTGGGTTTTAAAGCAGCTCTCCCTACATTTCATGCTTCACCACCTACGAGAGTGAGGCTCAGGGTGAAACTCAGAGCAGGGTGCGAGATAACTTCAGGTATCTCCATGCTCGAAGCCCTGACCTACTGTATTGCCCCGAAAGTCTTCCCTGCTGTGGCTGCATCTTTTCCAAGTGGATCATCTTGGTTCACCTCTAGCACAGGAATTCTTCACTGGGGCTCCTAGGATGGGCTGGGTGGGTGGGGGTGGAGGATGTCTGCCTCCCCTGAGTTTGTATGGAAAATGTATTCTTCTGGTGCACTTCTTTCTGGGAGGGAGTCTATTGCTTTGTCTTTTCTGAAGGGCTCATGGCCCTTCGAAGGTGAAGACCCAGGATGCAGGGTGATCTGCACTTGGCCCTCAAGGCCAAGGTCACGCTGTGGCTGGGCCGGGTGGTGATCCTGGCTGTCACCTGCATGCAGATGCACTTGAGTCCAAACCCCACCCTGGGCAAAGCAAGGGCCCATTTAGGTCTAGAGGAGACAGGAGTGGGCAGGACAGGCCTCAGGAATGCAAAAAAGAAAGTCTCTGAGCATCCACCAAATGCTAGAAGCTGTTTTGCACCTGTCATCTCTGTTTTTGCTGAGGATAGTTTAAAAAACATTCCCTAGATTTCCCCCCTCATGCAGATTTTTGTATATTCTGATGTCTTTGTCTAAGTCTTAGATAGAAAACAAAAGCGCAGGAGCTGTCGGAGGTGCTGACACCTACCTGCAGTGCTGACTCAATGGTTTTGTTCTTTGAACAGGGGTGTTTTTAAAGAACCTGTGGTTCTTCTCTCAGGTCTTCCGGAGAGATTCAGGAGGCAGGGTCATGAGTCCCAGGGACTCTGGAATTCTTACCTTCTGCAAAATATCCCGCAGCAGCTCAGAATCTGATGAGTCTCTTAATTTTGCTTCTAAGCTCCGTGTGGACGGGAGAGAGAGAAATCTCAAGGGCGCATTCACAGGAACATTAAAACACGCAATAGAATGTGTTGGCAAAGCGCTATGTGATCCCTCCCTGGGGACGCGGAGCCAGTTGGAAGTGGAAGCCACAGCGGCTGAAAGCCTGACCTTCAGATGTCGCAGGGTGCACCTGGATGAGTCACAGGAAGAAGGCTGACTCTTGGCCGCATTAGTCCTGGCTACTTAGCGGCCACCCGGGTCATGGGCCAGCTCCCTGGTTGCACTGGTCAGCCAGGAATTACCAGGGCAGCCATGGCACCAAGGTTTGATGGGCTTGCCATCTGAGTTTAAGTGGAAATGCAGAATGTGCCCATACCAGCCTGGGTTACATTGTCCTCTTACAGTGGCAAGTCCAGCAGCAAGCTTTGGCTCCCGAGTTAGGCAGACTGTCTCGGCTGGTATGTGACACACAGCAAGGCACTTCATTGCTTCAGAGCTCCTTCCATGCCATAAAAGGCCCTACAAGACCTGGTCCTAATCCCTCTCTCTGGCCTGTTCTCCCTCACCCCTGGCCCACACTGCTCACTCCACTCCAGCCACACTGGCTGCATTGCTGTTGTTCCTCAACCACAGCTGGCTTGTTTCCACCACAGGGCCTTTGCATATCCTGTTCCCCAAACCCTTCCCATGGCTGGCTGCTTCACCACTCAGGCCCCAGTTCAAATGCCACGTCTTTGGGGAAGGCTTCCCTGATTCCCCGACTTTAGTGACTCTTCTTCCCAGTTGGTCCATTCACCATTCCCCTGTTTTCTTGGCTTTAAAGCCACTCTCATCTGGTCTTTTCTTGTTTATTCATTTATTTGTTTATTCTCTAGCTCTCCCATGCAAGCAGAGCCTCATCTATCATGGGTACTGCTGATCCATGGTGCTTGGCTCACGGAAGGCATTTATTAAACATTTTGAGACTGAATAAAAACACTAGCTAACACCGACATGCATTTGCCATGAGCCAGGCACTGATCCACAGGCTTTTGTACTCAACGCTGACAACAACCCTAAGAGGTAGGTATCATTATATCAACCATTTTATTAATAAGAAAACAACAGCACAGAGAGATGCAGTCACTTGCCCAAGGTCACACAGGGCCAGGGGTTGGGCCAGGATTTGAAGCAGGCAGGCTGTCTCCTGGGTCTGAACTCTCAACTACTACACCCTAATCAAACAATCCCTCTGGTCAAATGTGAGTGATAATAATAGTACCCACCTCGTGGGTGTTGATGGTGAGCCCAAGTTAGCATTCAGCGTGGGCATGTGAACAATTATAGTCAATACTGAATGGAGACCTATGATGCTTTTATGAAGGTTTCTATTTTGGGTTAAAAATGCACAAATTTCTCCTGACCAGAAATGATCTCTGAGTGCTAAATATTTCATGTCAATGGAATAACGCAAATGATTAAGCAACACCCCATAAAATGGGGCAGACCCAGGGAGGAATATATATCCAAACTGACTCATCCCAGTGAGCTCACCGCACATGAATTACAAATGGAGCAGGGTGCATTAAGCCCCTCTGCTGGCAGAAGGGAGGCTGCTGCCTGCCATGCGCCTGTGCTGAGAATGGCAGGTCCCCAGGGAGAGGAGAGGCCACCCCCTTCTCTGTCTCTTCCATCACAGGAGTGAAAGCCTCAGCGCATGAGCTGATTCTGTGCAGTGCTCGACATACAGATGAGAACACTGAGGCCCGAGGGACAGCCTTTGACCTGGTCACCGTGCTCAGGAGGAGGTGGTTACCCGCGGGCCTGAGGGTGCTGACTTTTTAGAATGGGCGAGGGCAGCTGTGTCCCAGTGACCAGAACGATTACTGCCTTTAAAAAGTCATGAAAATGATCGTGAACTGTACCCCACACCGAGCGCGCGTCTGCCCCCCAAGACTGTGGAGACGCCCCCAGCTTCCGCCGCCAGCTCGCGGGGCAGGAGGGGTGAGAGCGACTCTGGCCAGGCCCCAGGGACGGGGACCGGGTCTCGTGGCCCTGACCGGGGAGAGCCCAGGAACTCACGTGGCAGGAGCGCCGGGGGTTTCAGCAGGGAGACCCATCCCGTCTGCCCCTGGACTTCCGCAAGCCCCGCAGGCCTCTCCGCTCGCCCCGCCGCCCACCTGCCAGGGGAAGGAGCGCAGTGTGCGCGCCGCTAGGAAGCGGCGCTCGAAACTCTGCAGCAAGAGTTTGGTACCCGCGTTCTCCTCAGGCGCCATGACGTGGGCGGGGCCGCAGCGTTGCCAGGAGACCGGGCGGAAGCCGGGCCTGGACTGAAAAGGGGGCGGGCCCAGGGTAGTGCGCGGAGGCAGAGAGGTGGCGGGGCCTAGGGGTAGGGTCAGGAGGAGCGTCCTGGGGGCGGGCGCTAGGGCGGGGCCAAGATGAGCTTAGGAGGGTGGGGCCTGGGGTGGGGCCAGGATGAGCGTCATGAGAGCGAGGCCTGGGGTAGGGCCAGAATTAACGTCGTTGGGGCAGGTCCTGGGTAGATTCCAGGTTGGCGGGTCCTGGGGCGGGGCCAGGATAGGGCGATCCTGGAAGCTGGGCTTCGGAAGCGTCCAGGTTGGTGGCGTCCTGGAGGCGGTGCCTTGCGTGAGGGCAGGATAAGAGTCCTGGAGGCGGGCATTAGGGCGGGGATAAACGCCATTGGGTTCAGGAGGCGGGACTCGGAGCAGAGCCCAGGAGACAGGTCCTAGGGCGGGGCTAAGGCCAGACCCAGAGAAGGGCTCAGGAGGCGGGGCCGGGGCGGGGCGTTGACTATGTCTTAGCACATGGCCAGGCGGTGCGCGGACTCTGGGAGGCGGAGCTTAGGACGGGCCCACGTGGGGAGGGGCCCAGGGTCCGGGAGGCGGGGCGGAGTCCAGGCTGCGGGCTGCGCTCAGGAGGCGGGCCCTGGGAGGCGGAGCTTAGGGAGGGGCCGGTGTCGGGAGGGACCCAGGGACTGGGAGGCCGGTCGGGGCTGGGCTCAGGGGCCCAGACCTAGCTGGGCTTGGGGCGGGGCCGAGACGGAGCGAGGGGTCCAGGGTGTGGGAAACGGGGAGGGGTTTGAGGAGGGGATCGGAATGTGGCTCAAGTTCGGGAGGCGTTACCTGCGGAGGGTTTGAGGCAGGTCCAGGAGCGAGCCCACGGTCTGCCGACGCGGGGCCAGGGGCGGGCCCCAGGATCCGGAGCTTCGGGCGGGGCCGAGTCCGGGTTTGGGGCCCGGGAGGCGGGGCCAGTTAGAGCGAGGGTCCCTGGGATCGTCAGGTCAGGCCTTGGGCTAACGTAGGCACTCGCAGTTCCTCCGCCTTCAGGAAGGTCTTTTTAGCAGGGGCCTTACGGGTGCGCGCTTCGGTCCTGGAGGCCTTATCCTAGCCTCCTCTCTCCATCAGCGCCACCCGTCTGGGGCCCAAAAGGAGGGAGCTTTACCTCTGTCCCCCAGCCTTTGGAGTGTCACCAAACAAGCCATTCGTTCACCAAATACTTATTAAGTGCCTGACAACGGAGATGTAACGGTGAGAAAAACTCGGTGTTGTCCAGGCCCTCCAGGGGCTCAGGGGCTCGTGGAAGAAGTGGACATTGAAGTATTTATCACACAAATGAGTGTAAAAGTACAATAGCATATCTGCCACGAAGGTGAGCAGACAGAGCTAGCGGGGCTTGCAGGAGGAGTTTTGATCTTGCGGGGACAGGAAGGAGGAGTTAGCTCCTGCGGGGTGGGATTGGGGGTTGTGGTGATATAGACGTGGGGACAGAGTGGAAAACAACAAAAATATAATTATTTTAGTTCAAAGTTATTGTGTCTTGAGTTGAAAGGCAGGGCAGTTAGCAACACAGTTCAGATTTCAGTACTGTCCCTGAAATCTGAACTGTGTTCAAAGTCTAAAACGTTTACCTTAGCAAATTCCTCATAAAACTCCATTTGGAAGAGTCCCGAGAGCTAATTTGTTAAGTATACTTGCAGAAGGTAGATGAGGAGACAGATTAAATCTTATTACCTCTTTCAGATGAGAGGCACTTGAGCCCTGCTCAGCTATGAGAATAAGAGGGGGAATTAATTCTAATTGAATACACTTGTTCTCTTATAGCTGTTGTTCCCCACCAGAACCAAATGAGCGCAAGATCTGACAAAGAAAAAAAAAGGTTCATCTTTTATTCCCCCATACCCTTTCATTTAAATCAAGAGGATGAGATGTGGTTATTGCTGTGTTTTTAGGCAGAATCAACGGTTTCTGGGTCTGAGATGTTGCATACACCCTCTCAGTCCCTGTAGCCTGAGATGGAGTCACGTGAGAATCCACAGCAAGTCCTAACCAGGGATGGGTCTGGGTGATTAAGGAAGGTTGGCTTCAGAACTGGGCCAGGGGCACTGCTTTGCTTTTGCTGTTTTGATCAGCTCTCTGCCTGCAGGAGACAAGGAAAATCAATGGGAACAGGTTAGTTATACTCAGAAATCCTGGGCTTATTTTATTAACTCACATAATAGCTATTAATTGTCTTTCCTCCAAGGAGCAAAAGGGCATATACGGTCAATGCCATAGTAAATAACACTGTATTATGTTATACTAAAATATTAATCTAGGTTGGTTCAGTCTTTCCTGATTCCATAGATTGGAAACGGATTGAAGAAGGACGCTAGTGGACCACAGAGCTGAGCCATGCACACAGAAGAAATCTTTTTTTCTTTTTTTTTTGGAGATGGAGTTTTGCTCTCTTGTTGCCCAGGCTGGAGTGCAATGGCGCGATCTCGGCTCACTGCAACCTCCACCTCCCAGGTTCAAGCGATTCTCCTGCCTCAGCCTCCTGAGTAGCTGGGATTACAGGCGAGAGCCACTATGCCGGGCCATTTTTGTATTTTTAGTAGAGACGGGGTTTGAACACGTTGGCCAGGCTGGTCTCAAATTCCTGACCTCAGGTGATTCACCCACCTCTGCCTCCCAAATTGCTGGGATTACAGGCGTGAGCCACCACGCCTGGCCAGAAGAAATCTTTATCTTGGTGTGCAGTCTCTGGTGAGGGACAAATGTCATCTCTCTTGGATCTGAATCTGGAAGGATCAAGGCACTGAAGGGATTTTTTTGTTTCAGGCAGTCTCCCTCTGTTGCCAGGCTGGAGTGCAGTGGCCCAATCTCGGCTCACTGCAACCTCTGCCTCCCGGGCTCAAGCAATTCTCCTGCGTCAGCCTCTCGAGTAGCTGGGAGTACAGGCACGCGTCACCACGCCCAGCTAATTTTTGTATTTTTAGTAGAGACTGGGTTTTACCATGTTGGCCAGGATGGTCTCAATCTCTTGACATCATGATCCACCTGCCTTGGCCTCCCAAAGGGCTGGGATTACAGGAGTGAGCCACCATGCCTGGCCTCACTGAAGGGATTTTTTTAATGTCACGTGGCTCTCACAGGTGCGGTGTGTTCAGTTGCAAGTAAAGATTACGAATGATGCTTAAAAACAAACGTAAAATTCCAGGTGATGTTGCTATGGGGAGCAGCATTAGGACAATCTGAGTGGTTTCAGTTGCAAGAGTGTGCGTGTACGTGCAAGAACTACAGTCAAGATTCAACTTCTGGCTTTGAGGGTCTCTTTAATAACAGTAATAGCAACCTAAGTCAGTTTAACAGTATGGAATGGTTGCCTTTTAGAAGTTAAGCTATGGGCATGGAAGTTCAATCAGTACATTGAAGTTTTTCCTTTATCTCTCCTATGGTTAATGGTTTCTGCAGAAAAGGACCAATTAATTTCTTTCTAAAACGTTGCTTCAGGGTGTAGAGTCCTTTATAGGTCATGTGTCAACTTACAGAAAATTTTTATAGTTCAAATATAAATTACGTTCAATGTAGACTTTGTAATAGAATTTAAGGTTAAGTAAAGTTTCCACTTTCCTTAGGCTGTTTGCAGTGCCCAGCAGGCCCCATCATATCGAGATGGAAGTTATGTTAAAGGAGGAGGTTGGCCAGGGTTGGGCAGAATAAGGACTATGGGCAGCTCAGGCTAATGATACAATGATTGAGATGTAGAAAGAGGGCCAGGCATGGGATAACGCCTGTAATCCCAGTGCTTTGGGAGGCCAAGGCAAGAGGATCGCTTGAGGTCAGACCAGCATGGTCAACAGAGTGAGACCTAACCTGTAGAAAAAAAAAAAAACACAAAAAAACAAAAAAATTAGTTGGGCATGATGGTGTGCTCCTGTAGTCTCAGCCACTTGGAAGGCTGAGGTCAGGGGATCCCTTGAGCCCAGGAGTTTGAGGCTGCAGTGAGCTATAATCACATAACTGTACTCCAGCCTGGGTGACAGGGTGAGGCCCTGACTCAAAAAAAAATTGAGTCAGGGAAAAAATTGGAAATCTTAATCCTCGGTACCCAGGAATGTGACCTTATTTGGAAATATGGTCTTTCTAGATGTAATCAAGTAACGATGAGTCATCCTGGATTGGGGGCTGCTGGTGAGGGGGCAGATGCAATGACTGGTGTCCTTATAAAAGAAGAGAATGAGGGCTGGGCATGGTGGCTCATGCCTGTAATCTCAGCACACTTTGGGAGGGTGAGGTGGGGGGATCACTTGAAGTCAGGAGTTCGAGACCAGCCTGGCCAATAATAACAATAAAAAAGCCATTTTAGATTCCAATCCACTGAAAGAAAACTGTCCCTTAGTTAATGTCATGCTTATTGGATCCATGAAGTCTTTGCAAATTTAAACTACAAGGACACTGCTCTCTGTGGTGGTGGAGAGAATACCAAGGATTTAAAGGTCTTTAAGAAAGAGAATGTAGAAATCGTACCCATTGGAAACAGCAAGATGATGATAATCGTACTGACAGTAATAATAAGCTCAAATATATAGAGCTTACTATGTATCATGAATTGTTCTGAATGCTTCATAAATATACGTTCCCTCCTTTACCCTCATGGCAGCCCAGTAAAGGCGCCATTCCCCATTTTACAGCTGGGGAAACTGAGTTACAGAGCTTTTCTGCACTGAGTCATCAGGAGCAAATGCTAGATCAGGTAATTGAACCCAAGCAATCTGGTTCCAGAGCCAAAGAGATGTATTTTTTATGGTATAAAAACATATACATACATTTTTAGGGGAAGGGTGGGGGTAGGATGGGATGAGGATTCTGGGTAATTGCTTGGTAAATGCCAAATACCTTTCTTGTCTGTCCCTCTTTTCAAATGATAAAGTAATGTCAATTGCAGCACTTTTTTTTTTTTTTTGAGACAAGTTCTAGCTGGAGTACAGTGATGCAGTCATAGCCCACTGCAGCCTGAAATTCCTGGGCTCAAGCGATCCACCCACATCAGCTTCCCAAGTAGTTGGGACTACAGGCCCACACTAGTATGCCCAGCTAATTATTTTAATTTTTGTAGAGATGGCAGGTGGCGGTGTGGGGGTGTCTCTCTATGTTGCCCAGGCTGGTCTCGAACTCTTGACCTCAAGTGAACCTCCTGCCTCAGCCCCACAAAGCTCTGGAATTATAGGTGTGAGCCACTGTGGCTGGCTACAACACTATTTATTTATATTTTGGACCAACAGATATTCTAGCATATAAGAAATGTGATGCTCTCTGTACATTGAAGAGTTGGTCTAATATTTGTCCTGGTCGATACAGAAATTGCCTGTTTGCTCCACTCTGGTTGAAGAAACCAGTCTGACTGTCTCTGAGGCTATGGAGCAGTCCATCAAGAATGAAAGCCCTCTGCCAGGCACGTTGGCTCACACCTGTAATACCAGCACTTTGGGAGGCCGAGGCAGGTGGATCACTTGAGGTCAGGAGTTCGACACCAGCATGGCCAACATGGTGAAACCCTGTCTCTACAGAAAATAATACTTTGCAAGGCCTCAGAAACTCTGCTATCCACAGGCAGGTGAGATATTACCTTCCCTACCACCTGGCAGTCATAGTCTATGACACGATTCAGCTTTATGGAAGTGCTTCTCTAAAGAACTTCCCCCAATTTAAGATGATCTTAATTTGCTTACTTGTTTACTGTCCATTTAGCTGCTCTAAAATATGAGCTCCAAATCAGGGGCCATGTCTGGTTGGTTACCCATTTCCTGGGACCTAGAACGGGCCTAGCTCAGAGCAGGTGCTCACTATTGATGGAATGCATGTTGAAAGAATGCGTGAATCTCATCTCCTTTTGTGGGTGAAAAACTCATCCTATTCTCACCCTGATTAACTTCCTTTTTTTTCCAAAATGGAGCCGTGATCTGTCACCCAGCCTGGAGTGCAATGGTGTGATGGCTTGCTGCAACCTCTGCCTTCTGGATTAAAACAATTCTCCTGCCTCAGCCTCCTGGGTAGCTGGGATTACCGGTGCATGCCACCACGCCCGGCTAATGTTTTGTATTTTAAATAGAGACAGGGTTTCACCATGTTGGCCAGGCTGGTCTCGAACTCCTGACCTCGTGATCCACCCACTTTGGCCTCCCAAAGTCCTGGGATTACAGGCATGAGCCACCGTACCCAGCCTGTCTTGATTAACTTAATGGAAATATTTACAGAGATTCTTTCTCTTCTGGGTTCTAGCGTCTTATGTGTAACCTCTGCAGGTAATACATTTTCCTTCCTGATGATAGCATTTCTATGGTTGCTTTAACTTGCAAATCCTCTAATACTTATTTATTCCATTTCTGATTGGCATTAGACATAATTCTCAATTTTTAGTGACAGCACTTTGTTTAACTTACATATAAATCGACTTTGCCTTGAAATGTGACATTGACTAGAAGGATGAAACTTCAAACATTCTGTACAACATAGTTTGACTGGCTAATTTATTATTTAGAAGAAGTTAATATTGCCATTATGAGGGACTTAGGTGGCTCTGAAGAACCAGTTGCATTTCTAATGTTTGCAATGTTAAATCACAGATATTGCCAACATGAAATAGTTTCCATATGCTGTGTTCTCAATACACACCATTTCCAAAGATATCCCAAGCTGTAGTCTTAGGAAACTGTGATTTTTCTTATTTCATCTCATAGGAATTTGGGGAGCTATGGGGGATCTCCATAAAATGAGCTCCAGAAAGACACATGTGTGCACACACACACACTCACACATGAACCACACCACAATTGACTCTGTTTATTTGGGACCCATGATTATCAGAAGTGCTATTTTCAACAAATACTTCTGAGAAATAATCTGAACACTTAATTGGATGCAAAAGAGTGGCTATTTACTATTCTACCCTTTATTTAGCATAATCAGTGTTTCCAGCAGCAAAAGCAATTGGAAAATCGATAGTTTTATTAGGTTCATTATTCTCCCTTAGCGTAGTGTGGCATCAGCATGGCTATTATTCTTAAACTGCCTCTTTAAAACAAGGGCTTGTGCTTCTTCCAGGCAATTCCTAACTCTTGGGTTTTGTAGAGGGTCCAAAACTCTTTAGAACCTATAATTCAAGGAAAGGCTCCACTTTGGTTTTGCATTTTGTCTGGTCTCTTTCGGTGACAGAATTTATATCACAAGGTGCACATATTTTGGGGAGGCTATGGACAGCCCATTGCACTTGTGCTTTGGTAGGAAGTACGTGCCGTTAAGGGGAAGGAGTTAGTTACTGATTCTAGGGAACAATTGGGTAGAAAGAGATGGACTCCCTGTATTTGAAATTCAGAACTCAAGCTTGGCTCTAAGTGTTTCCTTGCTTTGCTGTGCTCCAAGCGAGTCACTGAGCAGAAGGAAGCGAGTTGCCTGAGATTCCTCAAAGCCCGCAGCCCTTTTGGAGGTTACATTGTTATTCTCAGAGCCTTTATGATCTATAATAAAGACCTAGCTTGGACCAATATTAGGATGAGTTATCTTGCTATGAACATTTTTTAGGTAGAAGTTGCTGGTCCCATCTTGCTCACAATCCTCCAAAGTTTGGAAGTTACTTTCCAGGAGACTTAGCTTGCACTGAGAGCTGCCCTCCCACCCTCTCTCCAAATTTCCTCTTGGGAGTAGCCTAACAAGGTGCTGTCACAGACCCTTGCCAGCCACGATGACCCCACCCAGACCATCCCTCTGCTGTTTCACTCTTTGATACTCTCTGGAGCTCTCTGGGGAGGGGTGAGACCTGCTGTCTGCTTTGTACTGTTTGCCCAGGTCTTACAGTCATGGCTGGCTCCTCTCTCTGAGAACTGGGACTCCTGAACTTGGTGAAATACCTCAGCCATCGATCATGTTAAATTATCGGGGACACTCATTAAAAATGTGAGTCTGCTCCAGATGGACTCTCTCTCTTTCTGCCCTGACCGTGAGGGAGACCGTGAGAGAGAGAGACCGTGAGAGAGAGAAACCGTGAGAGAGACCATCAGAGAGAGAAAGAGAGACCGTGCCCTGACCTGCTGGACAGTGGAGATGCTTGTGGGCTGTGAGCAACAGATGCAAGGGCTGCCGGGAATCCCATCTTTCCAGCATCATCTGCCAAGGCACATCAGTTCCTGGGTGTCTTGATGGGTTCTGGCAGCATTACTGTCATTGAAGGAAAACATTTTAGCCATATTAAAGGTGAACTCAGCAATCCCCACACAGCCTGCCTGGAAGGGACGCGGGACAAGGGTAGGTTCTCCCTGTGATGGACAGGAGGCAGGCGACCCTCCCACAGCCCTACCTGGCAATGCAGATGTGTCCCCAAAAGGCACTGGGGGCAGCTGGAGTGCTGTGCCTAGGCGGGCTCACCCGGGCAGCGGTTCGCTCTGATTGCAGTGGTTTCCCACCAGCTCCTTGGAGAGCTGGCAGATGACCCAGCCCCACAGCAGGAGCCGGGAATGGCAGAACGAGATACAACAATTTGATATCCACTTGCCAGATGAGCCGGGTGTCCTCAGTCGCCTGGCTCTGTGCCCAACCTCTTTTTACATAAACACTTATGAATTGAGCCAGGAGGAAAAGCACTCTGATTATGAATTGAGCAGAAGGAAACAAAGTTCTGCAGATAAACACCAATGAAACAAAAAACCACGAATAAGAAAAATGACAGAAAAGGAGAACCTTCCCAGAAGCCTCCTGCCAGTGAACGGTCACCAGAGCAAGAGCATGGAGGCCCTGGGTTTTGAACTGTGAGATAAGGAAGATGATGAAAACCTCCCTAGCAGCCAGGCAAGCACAAGATTCCTGTGAAATCCAGGTCTAAGTGTTTTGACAACAGAAGTAATATTATGTCATAGGTGAGAGCTGTGAGTTGCTGAACCCAAAGTGAGTTCAAATCCGAGCTCTGCCTCCTGCTACCTGTGTGACTTTGAGAAGTTCCAGCACTGCTTTGTGCCTCAGTTTTGTCATCTGTTAAATGGGCGTAATCACAGCTCCTGCCTCAGAGTTGTTGTAAATTAATACATGTAAAGCACTGAAATCAGCCTGGTATATAGTAAGTGTTATGAACGTTATTTTCTTGGAAGGACAGAACTTATTTTCATGGTCTAATCCTGAAAGTCTAAAAAATGTGAGAGAAGAGGAAAGAATCTAGAGTCTCACCATGAGGGGGAAAAGTCAACTTGAAGCAGGACAGGGTCATTGACAATTTCCTGTGATTCCACAGCTGCCTTGTACACTATGGTAGCTCCTAGCCACTCGTTGTTTAGATTTTGTGATTTAGAAATGAATTAAGGCCGGGCATGGTGGCACACCTGTAATCCCAGCATTTTGGGAAGCCAAGTTGGGCAGATCACCTGAGGTCAGGCGTTCAAGATCAGCCTGGCCAACATGGTGAAATCTCGTCTCTACAAAAATACAAAAATTAGCCGGGCATGATGGTGGGTTCTTGTAATCCTGGCTACTCAGGAGGCTGAAGCAGGAGAATTGCTTGAACCTGGGAGATGGAGGTTGTAGTGAGACGAGATTGCACCACTGCATTCCAGCCTGGAGGAGAGAGTGAGACTCTGTCTCAAAAAAAAATTTAGTTAAGAGAAAATTGAAAATTCAGTTCTTCATTCTCACCAGCCACATTTCAAGGGCTCATCAGCCCATGTGGATGTCTAGCAGCTCCCATGTTGGATAGTGCAGAGTAGAGCAAGTCCGCCATTGCAGAATGTTTGATTGGACCATGACTGAATAGTCTATTGCAGTGGTCCCCAATTTTTTTTAGCACCAAGGACCAGTTTCCATGTATTTGTGGGGGGAAGTTTCAGGATGATTCAAGTGCATTACATTTATTGTGTACTTTGTTTCTATTGTTATTAACATTATAATATATAATGAAATCATTATACAACTCACCATAATGTAGAATCAGTGGGAGCCCTGCGCTTGTTTTCCTGCAGCTAGATAACCCCTTCTCCAGGTGGTGGGAGACAGTGACAGATCATCAGGCATTAGATTCTCATAAGGAGCACACAACCTAGATCCCTTCCACAGGCAGTTCACAATAGGGTTGGTGCTCCTATCAGAATCTAATGCCGCTGCTGATCTAACAAGAGGCAGAGCTCAGGCGGTAATGCTAGCCATGGGGAGCAGCTGTAAATACAGATGAAGCTTCACTCACTAGCCCACTGCTCACCTCCTTCTGTGCAGCCCAGTTCCTAACAGGCCACAGACCACTACTGGTCTGTGGTCTGGGGGATGGGGACCTCTGGTCTATTGGATAACACTGGCTTGGAGGGTACTGATCATCCAAAGAAGCGCTGAGATGATTTGGCCTCCATTAATAAGAATGATGGACTTTTTTTTTTTTTTGAGACAGAGTTTTGCTCTTGTTGCCCATGCTGGAGTGCAGTGGCACAATTTCGGCTCACTGCAACCTCTGCCTCCCAGGTTCAAGAGATTCTCATGCCTCAGCCTCCCAAGTAGCTGGGATTACAGGTGCCTGCCACCATGCCTGGCTAATTTTTGTATTTTTAGTAGAGTCGGGGTTTTGCCATGTTGACCAGGCTGGTCTTGAATTCCTGACCTCAAGTGATCCACCTGCCTCGGTCTCCCGAAGTGCTGGGATTACAGGCGTGAGACACCGTGCCTGGCCAGATGGACTTTTTTTGAACATTTAGTTCCAAGCACCTTCCCTGCATTTTCTCAGTTAATCCTCCCAGTGACTCTGAAGCAGGGACTATGACAATCTTCATTTCACAGATGGGGCAACTCAGGCACAGAGAGGAAGTCAATGGCCACGGTCGCCCAGCTGAGGAAGGATGGAGCCGGCTGAGATCCTGTTCTGGGGATCTAACTCTGCAGCCTGCATTCTGGGCTGCTGTATTCTCCCATGTTGCTATCTGACGAGCACAGCATGGGCTCAGAGTACAGAGAGGAGACACCAGCTAATAAGGATAGGTCTGGGGTGAAGGCTGGTGCCTTGGGGAAGAAGAGAGATGCCCCATTCTAAAGGGATGCCGTTGGAAGCTCATAGTGATAAAGCAAAGCCAACAGGTTTTGGGGCTGGGAGTTAAGCACACAGCTCTGGTTTCTGCCTTTTCACAGTGGTGATGAATGGGCACTGAGACCCTCTCAAGCTAAAGTTGTCATCACTGCTCTTCATAGTCTGAAGGTGCATGAAATGGTCAACTTTCTTCCAAAGGGCTTTTATGCCTAAGTCTGAGGTTAGTGTATAAACAGATATTTACTGAAGTCCTGCTGGGTGCAGACACCGTGGCCAGCCCTGAGGCTACAGTCGAGATGAAGCCAGTCTCTGTCCTCATGAAGACCTGTCTATTGATAAGAAAAGAGAAAGCTCACTGAGCATTGACCCTGTGCCCACTGCTTTTGGTGCATCTCTCATTTAATCCTTCTATCAAATCTGTGAAATAAACACATCACCATCATCCCTATTTCACATTTAGGGAAACATATGCTTAGAGAGGGTAAGTAACTTGGTCAAGGTCACACAGCTTCGAACTCTCCTCCCACAGGCGCAGGAATGAGATGCAGCAGCTGGGGAAGCCAGGGTCTCTGGCAGTCCTTGTCTCTGGGCAGTGATCCAGAGAGAGAACACGATTGTCTCAGCACTGGATCTTCTTCTGAGTCGTTTTGAAGGAGCAATTGCAGAGCGTCTCGGTGTTAAACATCATGTTGTGAATGACTCCGTGATCTCTGACCCAGTGTCCTTGGGGATAAAGGAGGGGAGGTATGGAGAAGCTCTTCGAATGGATGTTACGGGGGTGTCAGTGTTCTTTGAGGGCACAGGCTATGTGTCACCAAATTGAAGGGTTGGCCTGCCCCTCCACACTTGTGGGTATTTCTAGTCGGGTGGGATGAGAGACGGAGAAAAGAAGACACAGAGACAATGTATAGAGAAACAACAGTGGGTCCAGGGGACCGGCACTCAGCACAGCAAGGACCTGCACCGGCACCGGCCTCTGAGTTCCCTCAGTTTTTGTTGATCATGATTTTCATTATTTCAGCAGAAAGGAATGTAGTAGGAGAGCAGTGTGATAATAAGGAGAAGGTCAACAAAAAACATGTGAGCAAAGGAATCTGTATCATAATTAAGTTCAAGGGAAGGTACTATGACTGGACGTGCACGTAGGCCAGATTTATGTTTCTCTCCACCCAAACATCTCAGCGGAGTAAAGAATAACAAGGCAGCATTACTGCAAACATGTCTCCCCTCCTGCCACAGGGCAGCTTTTCTCCTATCTCAGAGTTGAACAAATGTACAATCGGGTTTTACACTGAGACATTCAGTTCCCAGGGGCAAGCAGGAGACAGTGGCCTTCCTCCATCTCAACTGCAAGAGGCTTTCCTCTTTTACTAATCCACCTCAGCACAGACCCTTTACGGGTGTCAGGCTGGGGAACAGTCAGGTCTTTCTCATTCCACGAGGCCATATTTCAGACTATCACATGGGGAGAAACCTTGGACAATACCCTGCTTTCAAAGGCAGAGGTCCCTTCGGCTTTCCACGGTGCATTGTGCCCTCGGTTTATTGAGACTAGAGAATGGCAATGACTTTTACCGAGTATACTGCTTGTAAACGTTTTGTTCACAAGTCACATCCTGCACAGCCCTAGATCCCCTAAACCTAGATTTTATACAACACATGTTTTTGTGAGCTCCAAGTTGGGTCAAAGTGGCTGGGGCAAAGCTACAAATGAACAACATCTCAGCAAAGCAATTGTTTAAAGTACAGGTCTTTTTCAAAATGGAGACTCTTATGTCTTTCTTTTCTACATAGACACAGTGACAGTTTGATCTCTCTTTTCCCTACACAAATAAAGAGCTCAGTGTCTTTTCTCATTGCTCAAGAGATTGAAGGGGTAGGAAGAAAAGATGTTAAGTTGTAAACATGTTTCAGTTTTGGTACCACTTGAACCAATTTATGTTTTGAAAAGAAAAGAGTCTTGCCTACAAAGTCAGCCCCTGGGTTTTCTTTCTGCTTATGGAATCCAGGCAATGGGCAAAGAGAAAAAGAAAACAAAGGAATCAGCCAGATGCAGTGGCTCATGCTTGTAATCTTGGCACTTTGGGAGGCTGAGGCAGGTGGACGTCTTGAATCCAGGAGTTCAAGAAGAGCCTGGCCCACATAGTGAGACCCCATTTCTACAAAAAATATAAAAACTTACGGAGCATGGTGGCATGCACCTGTAGTCCCGGTTACTTGGGAGGCTGAGGTGGGAGAACTACTTCAGCCCAGGAGGTTGAGGCTGCAGTGAGCCATGATTGTGCCACTATACTCCAGCCTGGCTGACAGAGTGAAGACCTGTCTCAAAAGAAAACAAAGATAAGAAAAAGAAAACTAGGGAATCTGGACAGAATAAGTTTATGTATATAATAAAGAACTGAGATAGAACTGGGTTGACTGAATATTTGAATTGCTTTTGAGTGAATTTTTCCTATTGGAGTCTACCTTTTTGTGTGTGTGTGTGTGTGTGTGTGTGCGTGTTTTTTTTTTTTTGTTTTTTTTTTTGGTTTAGTTTTGTCTTTGTGTTTTTTTGAGACTGGTGAGACTGGGCCTTGTTCTGTTGCCCAGGCTGCTGGAGTGCAGTGGCATGATCTCAGCTCACTGCAACCTCTGCCTCCTGAGTTCAAGCAATTCTTCCACCTCAGCCTCCCCAGTAGCTGGGACTACAGGGCATGTACCACAAAGCCCAGCTAATTTTTGTATTTTTAGTAGAGGTGGGGTTTCACCATGTTGGCCAGACCTGGTCTTGAACTCCTGGGCTCAAGTGATCCATCTGCCTCAGCGCCCCAAAGTGCTGGGATTACAGGTGTGAGCCCCTGTGCCCAGCTAGAGTCTACCATTCTTTGAATTCACTGCAGTGCAAAGACTGGGACATGTGGAACTCCAGGTGTATATGGGTTATGTAGAGATGCTAGGGGCTGATTAAGGAAGGAAAGATATGAGAAGCCTGCAGAGCATGCTTTCCCAGACTGTATGGGCCCTGGGAAAGGAGAAGTGGACAGAAAGGGAACACTAGATGCCCTGAAGAGAAGATTCATCCAAGTCATCAGGGAAGTTACTAATGCAAGGGAAAAAAAATGCAGAGACGGGGCCAGACATGCTTATTCCTAGTCCTTTCTGCCTGCTCAGTCACCTCTATGCTTATTTTTCTTCTTTCCTCTAAGTGGTGTCATGCGTTTTCTTCCCATTCCTAGTCACTCCTAGTCAACTAACTCCTCTCTTTACCATCTTTTTATCAGAACTTGAAACCTCCTCTCCTTCATGTATTAGTGATCATGTTTCTCCATAATACTGCTAGAAATAAGAATCGAAACCTGGAAAACCTGCATTTGAGAACCAGATCTGCCTCTGCTAGCTATTTGAGAAGTTATTTTGTTCCATTCCTTTTGTTGTTGTCGAAACAGGGTGTCATTCTGTCACCCAGTCTGGAGTGCAGTGGTTCAATCTTGGCTCACTGCAGCCTCAACCTCCTGGGCTCAAGCAATCCTTCCACATCAGCCTCCTGAGTAGCTGAGACTACAGGTGTGTGCCACCACAGCTCGTTAATTTTTAATGTTTTTTTTTTTTTTTGTTTACTTGTTTTTTGTAGAGATGGGGTCTTGCTATGTTGTGCAGGCTGGTCTCAAACTCATGGGCTCAAGTGATCCTCCTGTCTTGGCCTCTCAGATGAGATGGGAAAAGTTCCATTGTCCCCCTCGAAGGGCATGCAATGCGGGTGTGGTTTGCTTCTTCAGTGCCCCACTGCTCAAACCTCTAGGGGAGCATGCAGACAGGCAGGGAGCCCCATGGCCGTGTCCAGGGGTGAATGTTTATAGTTGAAGCTCCAGTGGGCGTGTGTTACAGGGTGCTCTTTTAGTTTAGCCGTCTGTAGGTAGCTTGTGTTAGTCGGCTCAATTAGACCCCCGCCTTATTGCAAGGACAGAGGGCTCTCTTTGTCCCGGGGTTCTTGTCTTGGTGTACCGGAAGTGGTGCGATCTCAGCTCACTGCAAGCTCCGACTCCTGGGTTCACCCCATTCTCCTGCCTCAGCCTCCCGAGTAACTGGGGCTACAGGTGCCCGCCACCATGCCCGGCTAATTTTTTTGTATTTTTAGTAGAGATGGGGTTTCACTCTGTTAGCCAGGATGGTCTGGATCTCCTGACCTCGTGATCTGCCCGCCTCGGCCTCCCAAAGTGCTGGGATTACAGGCTTGAGAGTGCAAGGTTTTATTGAGTGGAAGTATCTGTCAGCAGATGGGGGAGCCAGAAGGGAGATGGTTTACCGCTGGAGTCGGGTGTGTGGCCTGACTCTCCTCCGACTGTCCCAGCCAAACTCTGGGTTGTTCTGCCAGTCAGTGGCCTGCGGTGTGCTGGTGCCCATTGGTGCGTTCCTCTTGACGTCCAACACCCTTGTGTTCCTCCGCTGATGTGCTCCTCTCGAAGTCCAGCTGCCTGTGTGTCTGCCTGCTAGGGTCTCAGGGTTTTTATAGGCACAGAATGGGGGTGTGGCAGCCAGGGTGGTCTTGGGAAATGCAACATTTGGGCAGGAAAACAAAAATGCCTGTCCTCACCTAGGTCCGTGGGCACAGGCCCTGGAGTGGAGCCCTAGCCAGGGACCACACCCTCCTCTACCCAGTACTTCCCTTCCTCACTTCCATATCATTTAAAGGGACCACATTCTTCCCTTCTGAGCCCTTCCCTTCTGTATCACAAAGTGCTGGGATTATAGGCATGAGCCACTGGTCCCAGCCAATTCCGTTCTTTTAATGCAAACTAGAAAATAGATGTTCAGAAAGGCCTGCCCTATCCACCTCAGGGAGTTGCTATGAAGATCAAATTAGATCATGTGCAACAGAAGTTTAGAAAAGATTCCAAAAGCACTGTGCAATGGGAATGTATTTTTAAACTCCACTGAGTGGACTTAAAACTGTTTTTTTTTCTTTCTTTCTTTTTTTTGTTTGAGACAGAGTTTCACTCTTGTTGCCTAGGCTGGAGTGCAATGATGCCATCTTGGCTTACTGCAACCTCTGCCTCCCAGGTTCAAGTGATTCTCTGCCTCAGCCACCCGAGTAGCTGGGATTGCAGGCGCTCGCCACCATGCCTGGCTAATTTCTTTTTCTTTTGTTTTTGTCTTTTTAGTAGAGATGGGGTTTCACAGTGTTGGCCAGGCTGGTCTCGAACTCGTGACCTTAGGTGATCGACCCACCTTGGCCTCCCAGAATGCTGGGATTAAGGCTTGAGCCACCGCACCCAACCTGTGTTTCTTTTTTAAGCAAGAAAACAAATGCCTCTCCCCAGCGCTCACTAAACAAATCCCTCTTTTTTTTTTTTTTTCCATAGGATTCTTATCCTTCTTGCCCCACTGCAAACAATCTATTTTCTTTTGGCCTTTCCGTCCATCTGTGAAAGGGTCAGGCTTTCTAGCTAACCCTTAATCAAATATTTTTGATGACCACAGTCAAGACAGTACTTATTATGTTTTTTTTTGAGATGGAGTTTCGCTCTTGTTGCCCAGGCTGGAGTGCAATGGCACAATCTCGGCTCACTGCAACCTTTGCCTCCAGGGTTCAAGTGATTCTCTTGCCTCAGCCTCCCAAGTAGCTGGGATTACAGATGCACAACACCACGCCCAGCTAATTTTTGTATTTTTAGTAGAGATGGGGTTTCTCCATGTTGGTCAGGCTGGTCTCGAACTCCTGACCTCAGGTGATCTACCCACCTCAGCCTCCCAAAGTGCTGGGATTACAGGGGTGAGCCACCCTGACTGGCCAAGACAGTGCTTATTAATGCCTGAGATGCATCCAGGAGCACATGACCTGGCTGTGACTGTTCTAACAAAGTTCCCCACATGAGTGGCTCAGGACAACAGAAAGTCATTCTCTCCAGTTCCAGAAGCTTGATGTCTGAAACGGGCAGGGCAGTGCTCCCTCTGAAGGCTCTAGGGATGAATCCTTCCTTGCCTCTTCTGGCTTCTGGTGGTTGCTGGCATTCCTTGGCTTGTGGCCACATCATTCCATTCTCTTCCTTCATTCTCATGTGGCCTTCTCCCCTGTGTGTCTCTGTCTCTTCTTCTCTTCCCATGAGGATGCCATTATTACTCGATTTAAGGTCCACGCTATTCCAATATGACCTCTTTGTAATTAGATCTGCAGAGACCCTATTTTCTTTTCTTTTTTTTTGAGATGGAGTCTTGTTCTGTTGCCCAGGCTGGAGTTCAGTGACGCAATCTCAGCTCGCTGCAACTCTGCCTCCTGGGTTCAAGTGATTCTTCAGCCTCAGCCTCCGAAGTAGCTGGGATTACAGGTGCATGCACCATGCCTAGCTAATTTTTCTGTTTTTAGTAGAGACAGGGTTTTGCCATGCTAGCCAGGCTGGTCTTGAGCTCCTGACCTCAAGTGATCCTCCTGCCTCAGCCTCCCAAAGTGCTAAGATTACAAGCATGAGCCACCATGCCCTGCCCCTATTTTCTAATAAGGTCACATTCTGGGATTCCTGGTGAATGTGAATTTTTGGAGGACAGTATTCAGTCTAGCAAAAGGCAGAACATCCTCATTTTCTTCCCTACCTCAGAAATAAAGAAGTTAACTTCGACCCCTCTGAGAGAGAGAGGCTTCCTGAGCTTCCAACAATCAATTATCCAAATATTAGTCACAGAAGAGCACTAAGGGTTGTGCGCAGCACGTGGCCAGCCCATTCTCAGAGTCTGTCAATTTTAAGGTGAACGCTAATCCTGAATGAGTTTTAAAATGTATTTGGCATATCCTGGTCATTGCAAAAGGTTCTCACGTTGTGATGGCTGGGGCTTCCCTCTCAGGTGTAATCTGCGAAGTCAGACGTGACACAGCCTGGGTGAGGTAGGCCAAGCTGGGAACTGGGTTAAGAGGGAAGCTAGGGAACGATCTCCAAGGTCTCAGATCCCAAACTGGCTTTAGCCTGATTCACCCAGAGGGATCTCATAAAAAATGCACATTCCGGGGCCCACCCCAGACCTAATGAATCAGAATTACCTGGGAAGGAGCCTGGGGAGCTCTGTTTTCAGAAGCAGCCCAGCCGAAACCTATGGTCAGACAGGGCTAGGAAACTGAGCTCAGTCTAGCGCGGTAGTTCCCAAACTCGTCCGTGCTTCAAAAAATACAGATGCTGATGTCCAGGCATGGTGGCCCATGCCTATAATCCCAGCAGTTTGGGAGGCTGAGGCGGGAGTATCGCTTGAGCCCAGGAGTTTGAGACCAGCCTGGAGAACATAGGGAGATACTGTCTCTATAAAAAATTTAAAAATTAGCCAGGTGTGGTGATGCCCGCCTGTGATCCCAGCTACCGTGGAGGTTGAAGTGGGAGGGTTTCTTGAGCCCAGGAGTTGGAGGCTGTAATGAGCTATGATTGTGCCACTGCACTCCAGCCTGGGTAACAGAGCGAGGCCCTGTCTCTAAAACAAAACAAAAAACGATGCTATGTCCCATTCCAGAGGTTGAGGTTTAATTGTTCTTGGGTGTGGCCTGGGTTTTGGAAGATTTAAAAAAAAATCCCAGGTGACCCTAAAGTGTAGATGAGTTTGGAAACCACACATTTAAGGCACACTTGAATGGGGGAGCAGTGAGGTGGCGCGGGCTAGCCGGCCAGAACCCAGGGGTGGGGCAGTAGGAACCAGCATTGCAGAGGCCATTAAGGCTGGGAAGCATAGTGTCTGGGGCCCATAAAAATGCTTCGGCATGAATGCTTTAGACCTAAGACAATTGGCTCCTAAATATGCAAACTGCAAGGCTGAAATGAATGCTTGTTTAATGCTTTACAACACTGTCAAGTGATCAGCTGCAACTCCGTTCTGAGGGCCTGATGCCTGAGATATGCCTGTAATGGGGGTTGATTTTAATGAATTTAATATGGTGTGGAGTGGGGCCTTCAAAAGTAAAGATGTCAGTTCTAAGTTGGTTGCAGGGGTCTGGGCAAAGGTCTTAAAACCCCATGGTGAGCACATGGCCAATCCTGAACACCCCAATTTTAAAAAAGGGCCTTTTTTCCAAGAGACTTTTTGAAAATAGCTCCTATTTTGAGGGGAGGAACCCTGGCAGGAGAGAGCCAGAGTTAAGCCCAGCTGAGAGGGCGTTGGCAGGCAGGGGCCTGCCTGGTCCTCACTGAAGCTTGGTACTCAGGGTGAGCTTCCTAAACCAATGCAGATTTGCCAGCCCACTGAGCCTCGCAGATGAGAACCTGCATTTCAACAAGGTCCTCGGTGCAGCAAAGTTTGAGATATACTGGGCTAGAACACCCAGGGGACACAAAGGTTCTCTGAAAACTAAGGAAAATAGGCAGGGTGTGGTGACTCATGCCTGTAATCCTTGTATTTTGGGATGCCAAGGCGGGCGGATCACCTAAGGTCAGGAGTTTGAGACCAGCCTGGATCAACATGGTGAAACACCATCTCTACAAAAAATACAAAAATTAGCTGGGTGCGGCCGGGCACAGTGGCTCATGCCTGTAATCCCAGCACTTTGGGAGGCTGAGGCGGGCAGATCACGAGGTCAGGAGATCGAGACCATCCTGGCTAACACGGTGAAACCCTTTCTCTACTAAAAATACAAAAAAATTAGCCAGGCATGGTGGCAGGTGCCTGTAGTCCCAACTACTCGGGAGGCTGAGGGAGGAGAATGGCATGAACCTGGGAGGTGGAGCTTGCAGTGAGCCCAGATTGCAACACTGCACTCCAGCCTGGGCAACAGAGCCAGACTCTGTCTCAAAAAAAAAAAAAAAATTATCTGGGTGAAGTGGCAGGTACCTGTAGTCCCAGCTACTTGGGTGGCTGAGACAGGAGAATAGATTGAACCTGGGAGGCGGAAGTTGCAGTGGCCTGAGATCGCACCACTGCACTCCAGTCTGGTGGCAGAGTGAGACTCCATCTAAAAAAATATAAATAAATAAATAAAAAATAAACATAAATACTGGGCTAGAAGACCCAGGAGACCCGAAGATTCTCTCAAAACTAGGGAACATAATCTAGGTCACAAATATATTCTCTTCCTCCTTCTCCCCATTGCCCCCCTCCACCAGTAATCTTTATAGACTCAAATCGAGTTGATGTTCTATAATCAATTCTAGTCACTTTTATTTATATTTACTTATTTTAGAGATGGGGGTCTCACTATGTTGCTCAGGCTGGTCTCAAACTCCTGGGCTCACGTGATCCACCCACCTCGGTCTCCCAAAGTGCTGGGATTACAGGCATCAGCCACTGCACCTGGCCGTCACTTTTATTTTTGATGTTAAAATTATAAGCTAATGCCTGTGAGACCATAAATCCTTTTTATGCACTCAGTACATTTTCGTGTTTACCTTACATTTGTATTATGGAAAAATTCTGTTTTTTCCACTTGTTTCTATTTGATAATGAAGCCCTCTGTGCCTATCACCAGCCTCAGCCGCCATCATCTCATTACCAAGCTGGGTTATTTTGAAGCAAATATCTTCTAATATTTAGCCGGTGTTCAAATTTCCCTAACCATCCTAAATGAATGTTTAGAATAGTCGTTTCATTGGAAACAAGGTCAAAACAAATACATTTTACATTTTTAGGCCAGTCTTGAAAGTAAGTGTAAAACCATGTGTGAGGTAGGAGGTGGGACTAGCCTCTCAAGGTGGGGCCTGGATACCAGAACCAATTGAGGACTAGCTAAGACAGATTCCACAATGAATAACACCAGGAGGTGGGAATATTAAAGTCCATTGTGAAGGATGGCTACCACAATTTTTTGATCAACTAGTTATCAACCCTGACTGCAGCTGAGAGAGATTTGTTTTTGCTTTTTTTTTTTTTTTTCAGAGACAGGGTCTTGCTCTGTTGCCCAGGCTGGACTCAAACTCCCGGGCTCAAGTGACTCTTCTGCCTCAGTCTCCCAAGTAGCTGAGACTACAGCTGTGTGCCACTGTGCCCAGCAAGATATTAAAAAATACTTATGCGCGGACACCACTCTAAACCAACTAAATCAGAATCAGATATAGTGAAGTCATTAATCATTTTGCTCCTGGGTCTTTATGACAGTTTTGCTCCTGGGAAACTCCTGGGAATGCGGTAGAGAGAGAGAAAGAGATGGGAAAATAAGATTTTAAGAATGGTTGTTATGCATTTTGAAAATAATTTTTCTTTGGTGTTTGTCTTGAGGGATGGCGGTAAACATTTCAGTTGCCTTTAAGTATGCTTGCATGCTGGAATGATGGTTCTTTGAATGTAGCATCGAACTGGCATTGGGCCACATGGCAGCCAGCGTGAGGCTTTATGCCACATTTATAAACATGAATGTCATGAGCCCACTCTCAGGGACCTTACAATTTGGAAGGTTGGGTCAGATCCACAAATCTCTTCTATCTCATGGTAAAGGAAACCTGGCATGTAGCAGGAGATGGCGTGATAACCATAACATATTGCATGATCAATATTTGTATTCTTCTTAGCAATATTAAACTTTTTGACCCCCTCCATTGTGTCATCAATTTGCTTAACACAGTTTCTTCCTCAGCGTCGGTTTTTAGGCCTGGCATAAGCTGTTTGAAACCCAGGAACGTACCCCACCCATCATCTTTGGCCTAGTTAACACCTCCCCTCCCTGAGTGGTGGTTTGGAGAACCTGCTTGTTCCTCATCCCACTGATCCCAAAGCCAAGACACCCCACAGCTGCTGACCAGGATTAAACCTAACGGAGATTTAATGCCGTTAAATCAGAAGAAATTCTGATTCTCAGGGACTGACATTCATTCACTTAAATACTTGCAGAGTCGGCCAGGTGTGGTGGCTCACACCTGTAATCCCAGCACTTTGGGAAGCTGACGTGGGTGGATCACGAGGCCAAGAGTTCGAGACCAGCCTGGCCAACATGGTGAAACCCTGTCTTTACTAAAAATACAAAAATTAACTGGTGTAGCTGTGCGTGCCTGTAATCCCAGCTACTCAGGAGGCTGAGGCAGGGGATTTTCTTGAACCTGGGAGGTGGAGGTTGCAGTGAGCCAAGATTATGCCATTGCACTCCAGCCTGGGCAGCAGAGCGAGACTCTGTCTCAAAAAACAAAAAACCCAAAAACTTGCAGAGTGAATTTAGGAAACCATGAAGTCCACAGTTTGATCCAATGCCTTCCTTTTTCTCTTTCTCAAATATTTTGAGCCAGGTACTATCCTAGATTGTCTTGTGGTATTTACAATCTAGGAGAAGGCAGGAGAGAGAACTAAGAACAGAGAGCATGTTCTGAGATGTCTACTGTGTTTGCAGGTACCTTCTCTCAATTTCCCTACTCACTGGCCATGCTGGAAAGCAGGTCTTGGCGCTATATTTGTACCATGGTACTTCCCCTCCCTATACTCAATTGGTTGGCCAGAAGCCCAATTGTCATTCTCTCTCTCTCTCTACCTCTCCCTCTCTCCCTCCCTCCCTCTCCAAGATATCCAGTAACTGACTGATCAGCTGGCGGTGGGCTCTGCTGGCTGCCATGATGGGCCACCAGCAAAAAGGGAAAATTGGTTGTGAGTGAGAAGAAGAGATAAGAAAGTCCACAGGCCTGATAAGAAAGACCATGGGCTTCCAGGTGCGGTGGTTCACGCCTGTAATCCCAGCACTTTGGGAGGCCAGGATGGTCGGATCACGAGGTCAGGAGATTGAGACCATCCTGGCACACACGGTGAAACCCCATCTCTACTAAAAATACAAAAATTAGCTGGGTGTGGTGGCGGGTGCCTGTAGCCCCAGCTAATTGGGAGGCTGAGGCAGGAGAATGGCATGAACCCCAGGAGGTGCAGCTTGCAGTGAACTGAGATCGCACCACTGCACTCCAGCCTGGGCAACAGAGCGAGCCTGCGTCTCAAAAAAAAAAAAAAAAAAAAAAAAAAAGAAAAAAGAAAAAAAAAAGAGACCATGGGCTTCTGAGAGCAAGAAAGTGGAATTTTGGTTTCTGTAACTGCAGTTTCCATTCTCTCATGGCCTCTCATTTGTTTCTTGTGCCCATGAGTTTGCCTGTTAGAGATAATGTGTGTTCCTTGTCCTCAAGCTCATGCAAATGGGTTTCTGTTTCTTACAATCGTTGTTGCCAGATATGGATGGTGACTGATGCTCTACTAAATGCTGAAAAAAAGCAGAGTGGAAGCACAGAAAAGCGGGCTTCTCTGAGGAGGTGACGTTAGAGCCCAGTTGGAAGGCAGGAGTAAATGTGCACCATGATTTTTTAGGATTAAAACCAAGTATCTCACTGCTTGGGCACATGTAGATAGAGGTGATTTAACAGTAAAGTGTCCCAGTTGTACCCATTGTCAGTTACCTCACCACAGGGATTATGTAGCCCTGAGTTTGCTTAGTGCTTATTTATTTTAGGTTGTTGTTTATCCAAACCTCTTAAATGATACATGTTTGGAACAAGTAACAGCATCGTTCATTGATGTTGTGGACAAACCACTATTTTATTACTCAAGACTGGGTAATTTATAAAGAAAAAGAGGTTTAATGGGCTCACAGTTCCATGTGGCTGAAGAAGTCTCGAAATCATGGTGGAAGGCAAAAGGAATGTCTTACATGGTGGCAGACAAGAGTGATGAGAGCTATTTTGGTCATTGTTCGCTGGCCATAGAATTTACTTCTATATTTTGAACTAAGATGAGAGCCAGGCACGCAAGATGGGTACAGGTCTGTCTTTTGTTTTTGATGATGAAGATGATGATGAAATGGCTGACATGGTTGATGACTTGCTTTTTCTCATCATCTCAGACCTAGATTTTTGGCTGGACTATTGGCTTGGGATAGGTGAAAATCATTCCTTGTATCGCCTTATCTTAAAGTCAAGACTGAACCAGCCTCCAGACTCAAGCCTTCATGGGGCTTCAGATACCATGAGGAATGGGTGTCCCTGCAATATTGTCTTGGCTGTCAAAAGTGTTATTGGAGCTGGGCAAGTGGGTGCTCTCCTGTCATTCCATCCTGCTTAGATTTCCCATTCAACACCAATCTTATTTCCTTTTTTTTTTTTTGACGGAGTCTCGCTCTGTCTTCTAGGCTGGAGTGCAGTGGTGGGATCTCGGCTCACTACAGTCTCCACCTCCCAGGTTTAAGTGATTCTTGTGCCTCAGCCTCCCATGTAGCTGGGATTGCAGGTGCACACCATCAAGCCTGGCTCATTTTTTTTTTTTTTTTTGGTAATTTTAGTAGAGACAGTGTTTCGCCATGTTGGCCAGGCTGGTCTTGAACTCCTGACCTCAAGTGATCCCCCTACCTCGGCCTCCCAAAGTGCTGGGATTACAGGTGTGAGTCACCATACCTGGCCCCATTTCCTCTTATACCATAAGTCATTGCCTGCAGATGTGTTTTCTCCATTAGTTTGCAAAAGCTTCCTGAGAGTAGGTCTGTGCCTCATTTATTCTGGAACCTCCCTGGCACAAAGCACAGGGCTTTATCTTCTGTAGGCATCCAACGAATGTTTAATTTCATTCAACAGCTCCTCTTACCACTGCCCCCACCTTATTTGCAGGTGGCTAAGTACAATCGGAACAAGTAGGTATCATAAGATTTAGTCCAGAGTCAATTTGAGAAGAAATTACTTTAGTGGTATGAAAAGAAACCATGCTATTTAGTCAGAATACTTCTGAGAGTATCCCCTGTCCAAGCATTTGCTGAATTTCTATGTACTAATTTTCAGGTGGAACAGTATGGTTGTGGAGAGTCCATTTGGACAGAGATACACTTTCATGCATTCATGTCTTTAACAATAATTTGTGGCCCTACTGTGTTTGTTCACTAACTCCTTTGAACCTACCACATAAGCTATATCTGTATTTTCCTTGTAATTTGGGAGGTCCAATGCTTCATTAAGCTCATATGCCTGAAACTAATGAAGAAAATAGCTCGTTAACCAGCTAGTATAAAAGTAGCCACCAAATCAAGTCAATCACCTGCCTTAAATTAGCCCAGTACTCCCAGTTCTCCCAGCGGAGAAGCCCATTCTGAATCACAGTCAAGACATTGATGGAAAAACAGCTCCCTCTGGGGATCAAAACCACGCTTACTCCAAATCCTCCTCCCCAGAGTTCTACTCATTGCTCACCCACTGAACCCAGAACAAACCAGAAGTGCTTGAAATGAGGACGGGTAGCTCCGTGTACCAATCGGAATTTAAAACTCTATCAATTCCTGCTGTAGAAATGAGGCTTCTCCCCAGGACCAGCATTCCACGCAGGCAACTCTTTTCTAGATGGAGAAAACAGAACCTGAAGACACCCGTTTCCCTAAACTGCTCTTGCTCATGTGTAAGTGCAAATGAAAAATGCTGAGGCTGATTCTGTTGGCATTGCTTTTTAATTACAACCATCAATAAATCATTTTATCCCTGAACAAGACTTGAGAATGACCCGAAGGCAGAGGCACAACTCCTTAGGAATTAGGCCAACAGAGAATGGGCTATCTCTCTTCCCACCCCTTCTCTTACTCTGCTGTCAGAAACAGAAACCTTCTCTGTGAGTAGCTGGGAGCAGGAGGCCGCACTTGAATTCCATCTGGGGGTTCTGTTGACACAGTTTTACCCCAGCCTGCCTTGATGGCCACTGCCACACAAGCTGCATCTGTTCTTTCTTCTGCGCCTTTTGTTACTTCGTTGTTTTTCCTCTTTCTAGTGTAGTGAGCTGAATGGTGGCTTTGCACAAGATATATCCAGATCCTTGTGCCTAGAATCTGTGGAGGTGGCATTATTTGGAAAAAGGGTCTTTGCAGATGTAATTAAGTTAAGGATCTTGAGATTATCCTGAAGTATTTTAGGTAGGCTGTACATCTAAAGACAAATGTCCTTATAAGAGGACACTTTTGTCCAGGCGCAGTGGCTCATGCCTGTAATCCCAGCACTTTGGGAGGCCGAGGCAGGTAGATCACCTCAGGTCAGGAGTTTGAGACCAGCCTGACCAACATGGAGAAACCCCATCTCTACTAAAAATACAAAATTAGCTGGGCATGGTGGTGCATGCCTGCAATCCCAGCTACTGGGGAGGCTGAGGCAAGAGAGTTGCTTGAACCCAGGAGGAGGAGGTGGCAGTGAGCTGAGATCATGACATTGCACTCCAGCCTGGGCAACAAGAGTGAAACTCCATCTAAAAAAAAAAAGGACGCTCTTTTTCATGCGCGTCCGTGTGAAGAGACCACAAAACAGGCTTTTTGTGAGCAATAAAGCTGTTTATTTCACCTGGGTGCAGGTGGGCTGAGTCCAAAAAGAGAGTCAGTGAAGGGAGATAGGGGTGGGGCCACTTTATAGGATTTGGGTAGGTAAAGGAAAAAGGGGGGTTCTCTGGCAGGTAGGTGTGGGGGTCACAAGGTGCTCAGTAGGGGAGCTTTTGAGCCAGGATGAGCAAGGAGAAGGAATTTCACAAGATGATGTCATCCTTTAAGGCAGGAACAGGACATTTTCATTTATTTTGTGGTGGAATGTCATCAATTAAGGCAGGAACCGGCCATCTGGATGTGTACATGCAGGTCACAAGGGATATGATGGCTTACCTTGGGCTCAGAGGCCTGACGTTCCTGTCTTCTTATATTAATAAGAAAAATAAAATGAAATAGTGGTAAAGTATTGGGATGGTGAAAATTTTTTGGGGGTGGTATGGAGAGATAATGGGCGATGTTTCTCAGGGCTGCTTCGAGCAGGATTGGGGTGGCATGGGAACCTAGAGTGGGAGAGATTAAGCTGAAAGAATATTTTGTGGTAAGGGGTGATATTGTGGGGTTGTTAGAAGAAACATTTGTCATTTAGAATTATTGGTGATGGCCTGGATACAGTTTTGTATGAATTGAAAAACTAAACGGAATAAGAGAAGGAGAAAAACAGGTATTAAAGGACTAAGAATTGGGAGGACCTAGGACATCTAATTAGAGTGCCTAAGGAGGTTCAGCATAACCTTGAGAGCAAAGATTATTTAAGAGTTAAGAGTGGTGGTTTGGGGATAGCACCAGGAGATATCAGCTGTGATGGCTTGGAGAAACAGTGTAAACCACCAGTGTAAACAAGAGCAGGGCATATATGAGTAGTTGAGAACGGTGAATAGGAGTATGACTAGGCAGAAGATAGTAGGGATGACAAGCTTTTTGGGGCACAGTCCAAGTTGGTCTTGTGTCTGGAATGAGACTGGGGCCTAATAAAAAGGAGCGTCTATACAGGAGATCCAATGGGTATCGGGGGACCTGCCCCGATAATCATGTAGGTTCTTTTCTATTTTCCTAAGCGTCGACTGGCTTCAGAAATAAAAGGACAGAGTACAAAAGAGAGAAATTTTAAAGCTGGGCGTCCGGGGGAGACAGCACACATTGGTAGGATCCGTGATTCCCCACAAGCCACAAAAACCAGCAAGTTTTTATTAGGGAGTTTCAAAAGTGGAGGGAGTATACGAATAGGTGTGGGTGACAGACATCAAGTACTTAACAAGGTAATAGAATATCACAAGGCAAGTGGAGACAGGGTGAGATCACAGGACCACAGGACCGAGGTGAAATTAAAATTGCTAATGAAGTTTTGGCACCATTGTCATTGATAACATCTTATAAGGAGACAGGGTTTTGAGATTAACCGGTCTGACCAAAGTTTATTAGGTGGGAATTTCCTCTTCCTAATAAGCCTGGGAGCGCTATGGGAGACTGGAGTTTATTTCACCTCTGCAATCTCAACCATAAGAGACAGGTACGCCCTGGGGGTGCCAGTTCAGAGACCTACCCCTAGGTGTGGATTCTCTTTCTCAGGGACGTTCCATGCTGAGAAAAGGAATTCAGCGATATTTCTCCCATTTGCTTTTGAAAGAAGAGAAATATGGCTCTGTTCTGCCCGGCTCACCAGCGGTCAGAGTTTAAGGTTATCTCTCTTATTCCCTGAACAATTGCTGTTATCCTGTTCTTTTTTCAGGATGCCCACATTTCATATTGCTCAAACACACATGCTGTACAATTTGTGTAGTTAACGCAATTATTACAGGGTCCTGAGACGATATACATCCTTCTCGGCTGACAGGATTAAGAGATTAAAGCAAAGACAGGCATAGGAAATCACAAGGATATTGACTGGGGAAGTGATAAGCGTCCATGAAATCTTTACAATTTATATTTGGAGATTGCAGTAAAGACAGGCATAAGAAATTACAAAAGTATTAATTGGGAACTAATAAATGTCCATAAAATCTTCACAATCCACGTTCTTCTGCCATGGCTTCAGCCGGTCCCTCCGTTTTGGGGTCCCTGACTTCCCGCAACAAATGGGCTGTACCTTGCAGCATTCCAAGGACAGGCCTGACTTCTGAGAAGGGAAAGTGGTAAAAGTATTGTCCAGTCCTTTTTCAGTTGGTGGCTGAGCTTGGTAAGGTGTGTTTTTAAAAGACCATTAGTCTGTTCTACCTTTCCTGAAGACTGAGGACTGTAAGGGATATAAAGGTTTCACTGAACACTAAGAGCCTGAAAAAATGCTTGACTGACTTGATTAATAAAGGCCGGTCTGCTATCAGACTGTATAGAGGTGGGAAGGCCAAACTGAGGAATTATGTCTGACAGAAGGGAAGAAATGACCGTGGTGGCCTTCTCAGACCCTGTGGGAAAGGCCTCTACCTATCCAGTGAAAGTGTCTACCTAGACCAAGAGTTATTTTGGTTTCCTGACTCAGGGCACGTTGAGTAAAGCTAATTTGGGAGTCCTGGGTGGGGGCAAATCCCTGAGCTTGATGTGTAGGGAAGGGAGGGGGCCTGAAGAATCCCTGAGGAGTAGTAGAATAGCAGATGGAACACTGAGAAGTTATTTCCTTGAGGATAGATTTCCACAATGGAAAGGAAACGAGAGGTTCTGAGAGGTGGGCTAGTGGCTTGTACTATAGCATAGCCTGCTTTTGCTGGTGTGTGACAATTAGGCCTGGTGGAACTGCCATCAATAAACTAAGTGTGGTCAGGGTGAGAAACAGGGAAGAAGGAAATGTGGGGAAATGGGGTGAATGTCAGGTGGATCAGAGAGATGCAGTCATGGGGGTCAGGTGTGGTATCAGGAATAATGTGGGAGGCCGGATTGAAGTCCGGGCCAGGAACAATGGTAATTGTGGGAGACTCAACAAAGAGTACAGCAGAAGGAGCTGGGGAGCAGAATGTATATGTGGCAGGTGTGAGGAAGAAAATACATTTTGGAAATTATGAGAGCTGTAGAGAGTGAGTTGAGCATAGTTTGTGATTTTAAGGGCCTTTAAAAGTATTAGGGTGGGAGCAGCTGCTGCACAGAGACATAACAGCCAACCTAAAACAATAAGGTCAAGTTGTTTGGACAAAAAGGCTACAGGACGTGATCCTGGTCCTTGTGTAAGAATTTCAACTGCACAGCGCTGCACTTCGGCTGTGTGTAATGAAAAGGGTTGGGATGAGTCACGGAGAGCTAGTGTAACAGGACGAGTTGCAGACAAAACTCCTCAGACACCGGATTAAAGAAGGAAGAGGTTTTTTTGTTCAGCCGGGAGCGTCGGCAGACTCGTGTCTTAAGAGCCGAGCTCCCGGAAAAAGAAATTCCTAGCCCTTTTAAGGGCTGACAACTCTAAGCGGTCTACGTGAAAAAGTCATAATAGATCAAGTAAGCGTGAGGAACGTGACTGGGGGCTACATACATCAGCTAACAGAATAAAAAGTTTTTACAATGCTTTCTCATACAATGTCTGGAATTTACAGATAACACCAGTAGTTTTGGTCAGGGGTTAATATTATTGATATTTTAACCACCAGGTCCAGGTGGTGGCACCAAGGTCGTCTAGCTATTTATTTTACTTCTGTTTTTTCCAACTTTTTGCTTTCTCCCTTTTTTGCTGTCTTACAAACTAGGGAAAAGGGGAGGTTGGGGAGAAACTGGGAAGGACAACCGGAGAAGTGGTGGTCTCATACCATATTTCCCCCTTTGAGCATTTTCACTTTTTAGTGGGAGTTCTCACTCTCATCTTTACTTTTTGAGTCTATTTGTGAGATAGAGCGATAGTGATTTATATAACACACGTGTGCTGAAGTTTTCTGATGAACTAAAGTAGCTACAAAACCTTTTATCATTTGAAAAAGCAAGGGTAATACACAGGGGAGCAGCAAGCAAGTTCCTATCACTAGCAATACACCTACAATGAGGGTTTTAAATCCTGCTATAGCTGGAAACCATTTTTCCAATAAAGACTCAGGATTAAACTCGTGCCAAACCTGTACAGGCACATGTGCCACCTTTGTCATGTCCCTGACTATGTTTTTAACCACCTGTCCTTGATCACTTATTTGTAGGCAGCAATTGGTTAAGTTAAATTTTCCACAAACTCCTCCTTCAGCTACTAGCAAGTAGTCTAAGGCCAGTCTATTCTGATAGATAGCATTCCTTATTTGGGTTTCTTGCCAAGCTAAAACAGTCAAAGCTCTGCCAGTTTCATTAGTAATTATTTCTAAGATGGCCTGCAACCGTATGATCCAATTGAGCATGTAGATGGGGGTTCGGTATCCCCATAAGCCGTCTTGTGCCCATGTGGCAGGCCCATAATACTGAATGATCCTTTCAGGGGGCCACTCATTATCTTTCCAGTTTCCTATAACTGTGCCTTTCTTTTCTCGGGAGGCGTAGACAGGGAAACCTAGGAGCTCACCCATTTTTATGGGTAATAAGAAAAAGGATGGCTTAATAGTGCCAATAACACAACTGCCTGCCCATTTATTAGGTAACCGAATGTAGGCTCTGTGCCTACATATCTAGTATAGTCCAGTGGGAACCGTCCAGTCCTGATGAGATTCTGGATGAGCCTAAGCATTTTTTAATTTAGAAAATTTACTAAATGGATTCTTTTCAGTGTGGTTTAGGCCCTACTAAGTAATTGTCTTTGTTGTGCTGTTATACAACTTCTGTCCTATACAATTAAGCTTTCCTACAGAGATGATAAAGTGTTTCCCTTCTCTAGCTATACAGTATTGTCTAATAATTGAGGTTTTTAGGACCTAGAAGTTGCTAGCTTCGGCCTTCTAACTGGAATTATATCAGGAGCTGGATCAGTAGGCACCAACTCTCGGGCTTCCCAAGGCCATCTGTCTCCGATAGTGGTTCCTCCGCATACATAACAAGAAGTAACATTAAGTAAGAAAATTACATTTTCTGCTAATTGGAGAAACACATTTTTTGTCTTTTTCAGAAGTTCTGGTGCTGGCAGATTCAGCTCCTCATAAAAGGTTTGAAATACTGGTTTGGGAGAGCACTTGTGGACCTCCCCTCTAATTAAAATGGCAACTTGAGGGTTTCACCCTGTCCTATTGATCCCCAGGGTTACACGTTCTCCCTTTTTCCAAAGGGGATCTAGGGGATTGGTAATTATTAGTTCTAGTGGGTTACAGTGACCAGCAGCACAGGAGGGGTTGGCTTCCCCCTTCTGAAGATAAACCGGGTCCTTTTTGTTCTTTTTTTAAGTAGCCTAAATAACACATGGCCAATAGGCACAATTTTTACAAACCCCTGACTCATGACAAACATATTTATTTTCTACTCTTTAGCTCCTTTCTCAGTTAAGAGAACCACATCCTATTTCTAGCTTTTTACTATTAATGGCTGCACAAGCATCAAATCTTAAAGTTATTTGCTTGGGGATTTCTTTTTCTTCTGTTCTAGTTATTATTTTACTTGTATCACCTAGGAAAAGGCCAGTTCTTATTCTTATTTCAAAAACGGTGGTTGCAGGGGGCTCAGATGGGTTATAACACACATCAGGTTGGTCATTTCTCGGGCTACATACCTTGTACTGAGTGGCATTATACAAACAAGTTTCTTTTATTGTTTCCATACATTCATAATAACTATAGAACAGAAAGATTGTTTTAATTTGCTGTCCTACTTCGGTGACCTGATGAATACACTGGGAACAGTCCCCAGTTTGAGTAAGATCAGTTGAAGCCCTTACTGTATAAGTCCAAAATTTAAGAAAAATGAATCCAACGATGAGCTTCCTCATGCTTCGGCCGTGCGTGGACCAGTCAGCTTCAGGGTGTGACTGGAGCAGGGCTTGTCGTCTTCTTCAGGGTCACTCTGCAAGGGTTGTCTGGGCTTGGTCTTGCCTCCCAGGTTTCAGGCGCTGCAGGTTTTACATGGCTGTGGTGGATCCAGGCTGGGATTCCTTCTACCTTCACAGCGGTGGGAGTGCTCAGAACGACAGTCTGGGGTCCTTTCCACAGTGGACACGAAGAGGCTCCGTTCCAGGTCTTGATCCACACTCGATCACCTGGGGAGAATGGGTGAACTGGGGAGAATAAGCTAACAGGGCATCTCTCATTTACCCAGGCTGAGATTGTTTGTGTCATTTTTCCTAAGGCCTGTAGCTGTCGCTGTAACTCAATTTCACCTAACTCTCAGGGAGTGCCTGGAAGTCCCCGCAATATAGGAGGGGGCCTATGATATAATATTTCATAAGGGGAATATCCTGTTCTTTTATAAGTGGTACATCTAATTTTAAATAATACCATAGGGAGAGCCTGTATCCATTTTAATCCTGTTTCCTGACATACTTTCCCTAAACTATTTTTGATAGTTTGATTCATTCACTCCACCTTTCTGGAACTCTGAGGCCAGTAGGCAGCATGCAGTTTCCATGTGATCCCTAATATCTTTGCCGCCTTCTGTACTAAGTCAGCCAAAAATGCCGGCCTGTTATCTGAGCTGATCCATAAGGGCAGTTCAAATCTAGGAATAAGATCTCGAAGAAGCACACGAGTTACTTTACAAGCTTTCTCAGTTCGTGTTGGATAAGCCTCCACCTACCCAGATTAGGTACGCCCAAGAACTAGTAAATACTTGTTACCTCTACACTTTGACATCTCTGTGAAGTCCACCTGGAGATCTTCAAAGGGGGTGCTCCATAAGCTTGTATGCCGGGTGGAATGGCTGGACTTTGCCTCGCATCATGCTGTCGGCAGGTAACACGCCGCTGCCTCACCGTTTTGGCAAGAGCTGACAAATGCGAGATGTAGAAATACCAGCCTAACAACTTTTCAAGTGATTCCTGACCTAGATGGGTGGTTTCATGCACAGCCAGTACAACTGCAGCTCCCAGCAGCTGTGGCACAGCTACTCTCCCATCCGGTAACCGAATCCATCCTTCCTCCATCACTTGTCCTCTCTCTGCCTGGAGAAAGTCCTTTTCATCTTTAGAATAAGTAGGTACAAGATCAGGTGCTTGAGGGAGCATGGGGGCTGTGACTGATGCCCGGAAGGGGGCAGATGCTGCTTTTCGAGCCTCTAAGTCAGCGCGGGAATTCCCTAAACCAACCAAGGTGGAAGCTCGCTGGTGTCCTCTGCAATGCATAACTGCCACCTTGTGGGGTCTCCATACGGCTTTTAATAATTGCAAGATTTCTTGTTGATATTTTATGTCTTTTCCCCCAGAGTTCATTAGGCCCTTTTCTTTATATAATGCTCCACGCACTTGAAGGGTTGAAAAGGCATATTAAGACTCAGTGTAAATGTTGACATTCTTAGCTTCACTGAGTTCTAAGGCCCGAATGAAAGCAGTGAGTTCAGCTTTCTGAGCTGAAGTGCCCTGGGGAAACGATCTGGCTTCAGCAACAGTGTCCAGAGTTACCACCGCATATCTTGCACATCTCTCTCCTTGTGGGTTGATGAAGCTGCTCCCAGCCACGTATAGTTCCTAGTCTACTGATGCCTAAGGCTGGTCCTGGAGGTTAGGTCTGCTAGAGTAAACTGAGTCCAACACTTCTACACAGTCACGCTCGACAGGGCTCTCTGATACTGGGAGCAAGGTAGTGGGGTTCAGGGTGTTACAAACTTCAATGGTTATACGGGGATTTTCACAGAGCAAACTTTAGTACTTAGTGAGTCTAGCATTCATTAGCCAATGATGTCCTTTAGTATTCATTAAAGTCACCACAGCATGGGGGGCCTTTATGTTCAGGTTTTCTTCAAGAGTCAGCTTATCTGCTTCTTGTACTAGCAGGGCAGTTGCTGCCAAGGCCCTTAAACACAGGGGCCATCCTTTAGAAACCCCGTCTAGTTGTTTAGAGAGGAAGGCCACCGGCCTCGGCCAGAGACCCATAGTTGGGATTAAAACTCCAACTGCCATCTTTTCTCTCTCTGACACATACGATGGAAAAGGCTTTGTTAGATCGGGTAGCCCCAGGGCTGGGGCTGATATAAATCTTTCCTTTATCTCATGAAAGGCTTGCTGTTGCTGGGATCCCCATTCAAAAAGTCCCACCCCCCCCCTCCTTGTGACCTCATACAAAGGCTTGGCTAATACTGCAAAGTTTGGGATCTACAGTCTGCAAAACCCCACAGCCCATAAGAATTCTCTCACCTGCCTTCTGGTCTTAGGCTCCGGTAGATTTCAAATGACCTGCTTTCTTTCTGATCCTAGGCTGCTCTCCCCCTTTCGGATAGTAAATCCCAAGTAATGTACCTGCTGTCAGCAGATCTAAGCTTTTTTCTTGGACATCTTATACCCACAGTCCTCCAGGTGCCGGAGTAGAGCATCTGTTCCTTTGGTGCACCCGGCTGCCGTGGAGTGTCCCAGCAAAAGGTCATCAACGTACTGAAGCAACACGCAGTCTAGGTCTCTGGTGGGAAACTTCTGGAGGTTTCGAGGCAATGCCTCCCCGAAGATGGTGGGGGAGTTCTTGAACCCTTGGGGAAGCCCGGTCCAAGTGTACTGAGTAGTGACACCTGACTCCAGATCTTCCCACTGAAAGGCAAACAGCTTCTGGCTCTCAGGGGCTAATCTGATGCTAAAGAAAGCATCTTTCAGGTCCAAGCAGGTGAAGCAGCTGTCCTCAGCTGGCAGCAACCCCAGCAAAGTGTACGGGTTAAGTACTGCTGGATGTAAAGTCACTGTAGCCTGATTCACCAAGTGCAAATCCTGTACCGGCCAGTAGTCCTTGGTCTTAGGCTTGGGAACAGGCAGGAGGGGAGTGTTCCATGGAGACTGACAAGGAACTCTAATTCCAAAAGTTCTTAGGTGCTTGAGATGGACCTGGATACCTTCAAGAGCTTCTCTGGGGACCGGCTCCTGTTTTTGCCTAATCGGCTGGGCCCTAGGCTTAACGTCTATAAGTACGGGGGCTTGGTTGCAAACCCTGGAGGGTTGTCTTCCACCCACACTCTTGGCCACAGCTTAGCCAGAGCTGGTCTTATCTCTTGGCCCCACTCAGTTAAGAAAAGTCTCCATTCTTCCTCTCGGGGGACCGTAAGGGTCATAATGACTCCCATTCTGGGTAACTTTAGCAGCAAAGAGCCATGCTCTGTAAAAGAGATAGTGGCTCTCAGTTTGCTAAGCAAGTCCCTTCCCAACAAGCACAAGGGACAGTCAGGTGTGTACAAAAACTGATGAATCACTTTATGTCCTCCTACAGCACAAGTCCGAGGCAAGCAGAAAGCTTGCTTTGCTGAAACTCCCGTGGCTCCGATGATGTCAATAATCTTTTTGGATAAGGGGGCGACCGGGGCGGTTACTACCGAATGTTTAGCACCGGTATCTACAAGAAAATCAATGTCTTTACCCCTAACTGTCATCCTGACCATGGGCTCTTTGGGGGTCCTTGAGCCCAGTCCCCCTCAGTCCAATAACCCTTCTGCCAGGTTGAGCAGGGCCCCTTCATCCTTGTCCGGGGCCTCCTGCTCTGAGTCACCTGGTTTTCTTTTTAGCTGAGGGTATTTGTTTTTCCATTGTCCTATTTCTTAACAATAAGCACACTGATTACGCTGCAAGCTCTGAGAGCCAGGCTGAGTTTCCTTCCCGGGGCCCCCCTTCCCTTGCCTCTTTGGGGGACCCCTTTGATTGCTGTCGCTAACAGGTCAGTGTTTCGCTGGGCCTGAGGTTCATTGTCTCTGTGGTTTTCCTTACGGCTTACTGCATCCCTGCATCCCTATTTACAAACACCTGGTTAGCTATTTCAAATAACTGTGATGTGTTCATCCCTGCAAACTCAGCCTGTTTCTGCAGTTTTCTTCTAATGTCTTCTGCGCTTTGACTAACTAAAGCCATGTTAATCATGCCTTGATTTTCAGGGCTATCAGGATCAAAGGGAGTATACACACCATAGGCCTCACACAGTCTCTCCTAATTGTGCTGGACTTTCTTCTTTTCTCTGAATGACCTCAGAGACTTTGTTAACATTTGTGGTCTTCTGGGCTCCCCTCTTTAATCCTTCCAAGAGAGCTTCCCTGTCTCTGTTTAGCCTTTGCATATCCTCTCTTTCATGTGGGTCCCACTGGGGATCAGTTCCTGGTAACTGGGTGCTTACATACTCTTGAGGGTTTTGGTAATCAGCTGGTGCATGTTCCTCTAGCCACTTAGTTGCTTCTTGGCGCACTCTCCGCCTTTCATCTGTGTTAAAGAGGAACATGAGCAACTGGTGGCAATCAGCCCAGGTGGGGTTATGGGTCTGGATAATAGTTTGGAGCAAATCAATCAGAGCTTGTGGCTTTTCGGTACAGGATGGGGTATTGTTTTTCCAGTTGAGAAGGTGGGCAGAGGTGAAGGGCTGGTACCCAAAAACACGCCTCCCCACCACGTGACCATCCTCATCTATCCCAGTATACCGCTGCTCTCTCAGGGGCATTTGTGTCCCCGTTTTGGGTCTTAAATGAGCTACCAAGGGAGGGGTTTCTCCCGAGTCCTCACCTCCTCTCTTGTCTACTCTGGGTGGCCTAGGGAAATGTTTGTCTTGTGGAGGCGCAAGCACTGTGGACTCAAAAGTGGGGAGCCTGCCTCCCTGGTAAGGAGAGGGCACCACTGGGATCACTGGTGCCATCTCCTGCAATGGATCTTCTGATGTTGGGTCGAACAGAACTTCAGGAGTTGATTTCCCTCGGCGGGTGGAGCGGGATCCTTCCTTGGCTATCTGTCACTTTGCTACTAGCACTGCTGCTGCCTGCCCTCTTAGCCACTGTGGGGGTTTTAGCATCAGCTGTAACCAAGTGTCTATGTATGGGAACGGGTCTGGGTGTCCTGACTTACTAGTTACCTTGTGCCATACCTTAGAAACAAGGGACCTGTCCAGGCTTCCTTCTGATGGCCACCCTACTTCTAATGTTGGCCAATCTATTTCACACAAAGTTCTAAGTTCCCCAAAGTCTCCATTAAATCCTTTCTTAAAATTTTTCAACATACTTCCTAGTGGAGTAGGCTTACTTTGCATCTGACCCACGTTTCCTCGAGACAAAACACCAAGCTCAAACCACAGGCACACCACAGAACAAAGAATGGGTAAAAAGGGCACACACACACTTTTTCAGTTTTCACCAAACCAGAATCAAAACCAAAATCAGAGTATCCAGAAATCCAAGCCAGGTCAAACCAAAACCAAAGTATCAAGCAATTCAAGTCAAGTCAAAAACAAAAACCAAAGTGCCAGTACAGGCACGCCGTGGGTGATCAGGCCACGCTTCCACTCAAATGGAGTGGGCAAGTTCCAAAGATCAGTCTTACCAAGTTTCAAATGTCCGGACTCCAAGTGCCTCTTCCTTCCCTGTGTTCAGCCACTGTGTTGATCCTCCATGGGGGCCTACCACACACTCCTCTGATGAGGCATTCCTCTGGGGCAATTGCCTACCCGGGAGAGCTCTCAGGATCCGTGTCGCTCAAGCTGGCCGGAGTCCCCCGCAGGGATGCTCCACAGGGCAGGCCTAAGCCACCTAACGGGCTGCCTCGACTTTCCGTCAATTACCTCGCTTCCCAGTCAGGGAACCAAGACTAGGGTGGGGGCAGTCTTTAAAGCTGTCTTCAAGGAACAGAAAGAGGGTGGGGAAAGGATTTAGGATCTATGGGGTCAGCTAGGTTTCCTTTTGTGAGGTTATATAATGGTTTTGTTAGGATGGCAAAACCAGATATCTAAAGATGAACGTATCCAACCATGCCCAGGAAGGAAAGGAGTTGTTGTTTTGTAGAAGGGGTTGGGGTTTTAGAGATTAGTCACACACGATCGGCAGGGAGAGCACGTGTGTTTTTATGAGAATTATGCTGAGATAGATAACACATAAGGAAGAAATTTGGGCTTGACTGAAGTAATGGGGGCTGTCTGTGAAGCTTTGCAGCAGTACAGCCCAGGTAATTTGCTGAGCCTGATGGGTGTCAGGGTCAGTCCAAGTGAAAGCAAAGAATGGCTGGGATGAAGGGTGCAAAGGAATAGTAAAGAAAGCATGTTTGAGATCCAGAACAGAATAATGGGTTGTGGAGGGAGGAATTGAGGATAGGAGAGTATATGTGTTTGTTACCGTGGGGTGGATAGGCAAAACAATTTGGTTGATAAGTCATAGATCCTGAACTAACTTGTAAGGCTTGTCTGGTTTTAAGACAGGTAAGATGGGGGAATTGTAAGGAGAGTTTATAGGCTTTAAAAGGCCATGCTGTGGCAGGTGAGTGATAACAGGCTTTAATCCTTTCAAAGCATGCTGTGGGATGAGATATTGGCATTGAGCGGGGTAAGGGTGATTAGGTTTTAATGAGATGGTAAGGGGTGCATGATAGGTTGCCAAGGAGGGAGTAGAGGTATCTTCTACTTGTGGGTTAAGGTGGGTGGCAATGAGATGTATCTGTAGTCTGGGAATAGTCAGGGAAGCAGATAATTTAGTTGAAGTGTCTCGGCCTAATAAGGGAACTGGGCAGGTGGGGATAACTAAAAAGGACTGCTTAAAAGAGTATTGTCTAAGTTGGCACCAGAGTTGGGGAGTTTTAAGAGGTTTAGAAGCCTGGCTGTCAATACCCACAACAGTTATGGAGGCAAGGGAAACAGGCCCTTGAAAAGAAGGTAATGTGGATTGGGTAGCCTCTGTATTGATTAAGAAGGGGATGGACTTACACTCCACTGTGAGAGTAACCTAGAGTGTCTGTGATGGTCCTGTAGGCTTCCAAGGCGATCGATCGGGCAGTGTCGGTCTGCAGCTGCTAAGCCAAGAAGATCTGGAAAGGAGTCAGTCAGAGAGCCTTGGGCTCTGGGAGTGGTGCCAGGTGAGTTGAACAGTCCGATTTCTAGTGGGGTCCCACACATATGGGACATGGCTTAGGAGGAATCCCAGGTTGTGGGCATTCCTTGGTCTGGTGGCCAGATTTCTGGCACTTGTAGCAAGCTTCTGGGAGAGGAGGTTCTGGAGGAATGCCTGGCCACTGCACTTTAGGCGTTTGGAAGCTCTTGTGTGCTGGAGATGTGGCTGGGGTTTGTCTCACAGTGGAGGCAAGGAATTGCAACTGAGAAATATGTTGCTACTTGGCTGCCTCTACTCTCTTATTGTACACCTTGAAGGCGAGGTTAATTAAGTCCTGTTGTGGGGTTTGAGGGCCGGAATTTAATTTTTGGAGTTCTATTTAATGTCGGGAGCAGATTGAGTAATAAAATGTATATTGAGAATAAGACGGCCTTTTGACCTCTTAGGGCCTAGGGCTGTAAAGCATCTCAGGGTTGCTGCCAAACGAGCCATGAACTGGGGTGGATTTTTATATTTGATGAAAAAGAGCCTAAACCTTATCTGATTTGGGATAAAGAAAAAGGAGCATTAACCTTGACTATGCCTTTAGCTCCAGCCACCTTTTTAAGAGTAAATTGCTGGGCAGGTTGGGGAGGGCTAGTCATGGAATGAAACTGTAAGCCAGACCCAGTGTAAGGAGGGGAGGTGATAAAAGGATTATAGGGTGGAGGAGCAGAGGCTGAGGAAGAATTGGGACCTAGCTCAGCCTGGCAAGGAGGGGAGAGGTCAGATGGGTCTGTAGAAAAGGAAGATTAGAAAGACTCAGCAACACTTGGGGTTGGGACTGAGGGGACAGGTGGGAGGGAAAGAAAGAAGATTTGGGATGAGTTGCATTGGGAACAGAGACTAGGGAGGGACCGAAGTGTAATAGAATGCCTGGACATCAGGGACCTGAGGCCATTTGCCCATCTTATGGCAAGAATTATCTAGATCTTGTAGGATGGAAAAATTGAAAGTGCCATTTTCTGGCTATTTGAAACCACTCTTGAGTTTGTATTGGGGTCAAGCGGCATTGTAGAAGAAAATAAGGCATTTAGGTTTTAGGTCAGGTGTGAGTTGAAGAGGTTTTAGGTTTTGAAGAACACTGGCTAAGGGAGAAGAAAGGGGAATGGAGGGTGGAATCTTGCCCATAGTGAAGGAGGCAAGCCTAGAGAAAAGAGAGAGTAGAGACACAAAGAGAAGGGGTGGGGCATTCTTGCCTTCCAGAAAAGCAGGAAATGGGTTGGGGCACAGAAATAAAGGGTTGGGGTGCAGAGATAGGAGGTCAGGTTGTGGAAATAAGGGATCAGAGCACAGAGATAAGAGGGCAGGGCATGGAAATAAGGGATCGGGGTGCAGAGATAAGAGGGCGGGGTTCCTGTGCCTCCCCCAGAAAAGCGGGACTTGCCGCTAAGGGTGAAGGACCAAGGCAGGCATCCCTGTGTGGTCTGACACCTCTGAAACCTGGGTGAATAATCAGAGAGGCGTCCCTGCAATGATTAAACACCAAGGGAAGGCTGCCTTCCCTAGTCCGTGACCAGCACTGGAGTTTTGGGTCCATGGATAAAACGTGTCTCCTTGGTCTGTACCGGAAAATGAAAGGAATTGAAATTAAGAGAAGGGAGAGATTGAAGTGTGGTGCCAAGATTGAAAGGAGAAAGATGTTGAAGGATAGTGAGGGAGGTTGGAGAAGAGAGTAAAAAGAAGCTGCTTCCCAGATTTGAAATTGGTGAGATGTTTCTTGGGCTGGTCAGTCTGAGGACCTGAGGTCGTAGGTGGATCTTTCTCACACAGCAAAGAGCAGGAGGACAGGGGATTGATCTCCCAAGGGAGGTCCCCCAATCTGAGCCACGGCACCAAATTTCACATGCATTTGTGTGAAGAGACCACCAAACAGGCTTTGTGTGAGCAATAAACCTGTTTATTTCACCTGGGTTCAGGTGGGCTGAGTCCAAAAAGAGAGTCAGTGAAGGGAGATGGGGTGGGGCCATTTTATAGGATTTGGGTAGGTAAAGGAAAAAGGGGGGTTGTTCTCTGGCAGGCAGGAGTGGGGGTCACAAGGTGCTCAGTAGGGGAGCTTTTGAACCAGGATGAGCAAGGATAAGGAATTTCACAAGATAATGTCATCAGTTAAGGCAGGAACCGGCCATCTGGATGTGTACATGCAGGTCACAGGGGATATGATGGCTTAGCTTGGGCTCAGAGGCCTGACACTCTTACTCCAGAGGAGGAGACCCAGACAGAAGAGGAGGAGGCAAGGTGATCACAGAGGCAGAGATTGGATCATGCAGCCACAAGTTGAGGAATTCTAGTAGCCTCTATAAGCTGGAAGACGCAAGGAATGGATTCTCCCCTAGAACCTCTGAAAGGAGCATGCTCCTGCTGACCTTTGATTGATTTTGGACTTCTGGCCTCCAGACAATATTTTTTTTTTTTTTTTTTTTTTAGAAAGAGGCATGCTCTGTTGCCCAGTCTGGAGTGCAGTGGCACGATCTTAGTTCACTGCAACCTCCACCTCCCAGGCTCAAGCCATTCTCTTGCTTCAGCCTCCCAAGAAGTGGGGACTACAGGTGCCTGCCACCATGCATGGCTAATTTTTGTATTTTTAGTAGAGACAAGGTTTTGCCATATTGGCCAGGCTGGTCTCGAATTCCTGGCCTCAAGTGATCCACCCACCTCAGCTTCCCAAAGTCCTGAGATTATTTAGGTGTGAGCCACAGCACCCGGCCCAGACATTGTTTGAAGCCACCCATTTCATGGTTCTTTGCTGCAGTGGTTGTGGAATATGAATGCACTCGTGCTGTTGGTTAGACTTTGCTGACCTTGTGTCTGTTATTCCCTGGCAGTTCTACAAGGCCTGGAGCAGATACGAAAAACCTCCCTTCTTTGCCAAATGGTCCCCAGCTTCCCCATTCACTGAAGGCCCTGCGGTCAGGAACAGTCAGGACTTTGCACCCAGTTGTTGTGAGTGTTGGCCGACCCTTCCTCTTGTGTGATTCATGGACCCTTAGCATTGCATCACCTGGGAGCTTTTGGAATTGAAGACTCTCAGCGCTCACCGGAAGGACCTCCTGGGCCAGAATCTGCATTTTAACAAGATGCCCAGGTGATTTGCATACACGTTCAGATCTGAGAAGCGCTAGTAGGAGAAGCTTTAATGTGGTAATTAGATCTTTTCTCCACCTGCAGGAATCTTAGTTTCTTCATGTTAAATCTATTAACTGTGGCAATGGTATGGGGGTTATAAAACAAAACAAAACCCTTACATCAAGAATGCACCCGGGTGTGTTATGGATGTGGGTGAAATGAAATGTCTGGAATTTGCTTTAAAATATCCTAAAATAGCAAGAAGGAAAAGAAAAGTGGGAACTGGAATGAGATTGGAGAAATGTTGACAAGTTCTTGCAGTGGGATGATGGGTGCATGGGGGTTCATGGTATAATTCTCTCCCTGCTTTTTGTGTATATGGGAAATTTCCATAATGAAAAGTTAGAGGTCGGGCACGGTGGCTCATGCCTGTAATCTCAGCATTTTGGGAGGCTGAGGTGGGTAGAGTGCTTGAACCTAGGAGTTCAAGACCATCCTGGACAACGTGGTGAAACCCCATCTCTACTAAAAATGCAAAAATTAGGCATGGTGACAACATGCCTGTAGTCATGTTGAGGCACAAGGTTGAGACATGAGAATCACTTGAACCCAGGAGGCGGAGGTGGCAGTGAGCCAGGATCGCACCATTTCACTCCAGCCTGGGTGACAGAGTGAGACTTGGTCTCAAAAAATTTTTTAATTTTCTTTTTTTTGAGATGGAGTCTTGCTGTTTTGCCCAGGCTGGAGTGTAGTGGTGTGATCTTGGCTCACTGCAAGCTCCATCTCCCGAGGTCACTCCATTCTTCTGCCTCAGCCTCCAGAGTAGCTGGGACTATAGGCACCCAGCACCATGTCCGGCTAATTGTTTGTATTTTTAGTAGAGATGGGGTTTCACCGTGTTAGCCAGGATGGTCTCAATCTCCTCACCTCGTGATCTGCCCACCTTGGCCTCCCAAAGTGCTGGGATTGCAGCCATGAGCCATCGTGCCCGGCCTTAATTTTGTTTAATTTTTTTCTTTTTTGAGACAGGATCTGTAGCCCAGGCTGGAGTGCAGTGGTACGATCCCAGCTCACTGCAGCCTCTACCTCCTGGGTTCAAGCGATCCTCCCACCTCAGCCTCCCGAGTAGCTGAGACCACAGGCATGTATCACCACACCTGGCTAATTTTTTCCCTTTTTCTAGAGGCAAGGTCTTGCTATTTTGCCCAGGCTGGTCTTGAACTCCTGAGTTCAAGCAATCTTCCCATCTCAGCCTGGGAGTAATCCCAAAGTGCTGGGATTACAGGTGCGAGTCACTCTACCCAGCCTCAACTGTTTTTCATGACTCCACTTTTTCTCCCCTCTTGGAAATGAGTAGTCTTTGAGGGAGTGTCTTTTTTGTCTCAATCTCTGGTTTCTTTGCTCAGTGCACCTGTGTTTGGGGCTTTGTTGATCTCCAGGCCTTTTTCAGCAGCGTTGTCCCTGGAGAGCAGGATGGGAGCTGATGGCTTCTCAGCATCTTTTAACTCAGTTTAAAGATGACTATCAACAACATCTAGTCAGCATCTGTTGCTCTCGGCAGCTGGGACTTCATTTCTTTTCTCTTTCTCCACCTCTCTAACCTCTTTAAGACTCTGCTTTGTCATGGGTACAGCATCACCTGTGTGGCCCTTAGGCTCTCTTACTTACATGTGATCTGCGTATTATGTCTTTACTTCAGGGCTTCTCAACCAGGGGGTGATTTTGCCCCCAAGAGAACATGTGGCCATGTCTGGAGACAATTTTGGTTGTTGCAGCTGGAGGAGGTGGTGCTACTGGCAGCTAATAGGTAGAGGCCACGGATGCTGCTAAACATCCTACAATGCTCCGGACAACTCCCACTAAGACAAAAGAATGATCCAGCCCCAAATGTCAATAGTGCTGAAAGTGAGAGACCCTGATTCCATCTTAGAGATCATCCAAGCACACTTGGCCAAATAGTTTTTGCTACTATCCCATGAAGAAAAGGCAGACTCATGACTGATGGCAACGTCGATGGGAATTTTGTTTACTTCTTCTTTGTGGACTTTGGGATACGATGACTTACCATTTGTGCAAGTTGTGCATTGCATACCTCCAGGGGGCGCCACCCACATATTTATGAAAATGCCACCCCAGGAATTGCACAGTACATAGTCTACATGGCAATAAACAGTTGCTCTGGTTTTGGGGTTGTCCTGGGTTGCTCTGGAACTGGGAGGAACTTTATTTCTGGCCATTAGAGGCCCTGAGCATGACATTGAGTATCCTTTCAAGAAAGGAGAAATGTTGAACAGAGAGGACCTCATTTTTATAACTCTTGACCATCATCTAGTTACGCAGCATCCACTTTTCACCCCTGGGCCATATCCATTTGACGGATGAAAAATCATCAAATTATAATATCATGGCTTTTACTTTTGATAGCTTCTGCCCGGAACATGGCGGTAACAGCTTCTCATTTTCAATTGATTCATTGGGGGAGAAAATATACACGACTGCCCTAAGACTTTCTATTACATACCATTTGTTTGACGGGATTTCTTTAGTTTCTGTAGCATAACTTATTCTAACTGGTCCTCAATCACTTTGCAATAAAACCTGAGATTGTGAAGATGTTCACTGTCATTACCAGTGACGGAGCAGTAAGTACAGAGTTCTGGAGAGGGAAGGAATCGAGAGAGTTAAACTAGCAGAATGAGCCGCTCACCCTCAGCATTGCTTTTAATCTTGGTGAGAACTGAGGGGAATTTTGACAGGGTTCAGGGGGACTGCGGGGAGTGGGGCTGGGAAGTGGCTGTTTGCACGTGTGGTCAGCAAATCCAGTGAGGGGGTCCATGTACTGTAGGCAGCCCCGCAGATGGAGTTGGGATTGCCCTAGACTGAGTACTGGGTCATCAGTACTCAAGACATCAAGGCCCAGGCTGGTGCAGGAGATACATTGCACTGCTTCAGCCTTTCTTCTATCGCTCCTCTCCAATGACAGTCCCCGATTTTCCACCGAGGAGTCACTAGTTCCCCACGACATGTGTGCGACTGGCCATTCCCCACCCTGATCTGGAGCTGGGGCATGTGGTCCCAGCCTGGATGTCAGTATCCTTCCACCACCCTGGCCACAGTGATTGGGTCTGAGAAGCAGATTAGCCAAAGGAGAAACAATCTTGGAAATTTCATGTTCATGCTTAAGAAAGTAAAATGGAAAGCGGGGGGAGGGTGAGGGGTCATTCTGATGATATAGTTTTAGGACCTGGATGTAGCCATACCTGTAGCTGTCAACTCTGTGCCATAGTACTGCTTTTTTTTTTTTTTTTCCTTCAAATTTAAATACTTTCTAAAGGCAAGGTCTTGCTATGTTGCTTAGGCTGGTTTTGAAAAGTCCCTTTGGGGGGATGCTTTCACTGCTTCACTTCCTTTCTATGACAGCTCAGGGAATCAGAAGACAAGCGAGATGATTTTTTTTGTTTGTTTGTTTGAGACAGGGCTTGCTCTGTTGCCCAGGCTGGAGTGCAATGGTGCAATCACAGCTCGCCACAGCCTTGATCTTCTGGACTCAAGCGACCCTCCTGCTTCAGCCTCCTGAGTAGCTGGGACTGTAGGTGGGTACCAACATGCCCAGCTAACTAAATTTTTTTTTTTTTTAGAAGTGAGATCTCACTATGTCACCCAGGCTGGCCTCAAACTCCTGGGCTCAAGTGATCGCCCTGCCTTAGCTTCCCAAACAGACAGGTGTGAGCCCCCACACCAGTCAACGCTGTGGTTTTATGCACCTGGTGTCCCCCTACGCCCTGAGAAATGGTCCTCCTGCTTCAACCTCCCAAAGTGCTGGGATAACAGATGTGAAGCAGCATGTGTGGCCCACATAGTATTCTTATGGGTTAAATTGAGTCCTCCTCAAAACATGTTGAAATCCTAAATTCTAGTAGCTCAGAATGTGACCTTATTTAGAAATAGAGTTATTGCAGGCCAGGCGTGGTGGCTCATGCCTGTAATCCCAGCACTTCGGGAGGCCAAGGCGGGAGGATCACCTGAGGTCAGGAGTTTGAGACCAGCCTGACCAACATGGAGAAACCCCTTCTCTACTAAAAATTCAAAATTACCTGGGTGTGGTGGCGCATATCTGTAATCCCAGCTACTCGGGAGGCTGAGGCAGGAGAATTGCTTGAACTCAGGAGATGGAGGTTGCATTGAGCTGAGATCGCGCCATTGCACTCCAGCCTGGGCAACAAGAGTGAAACTCCGTCTCAAAAAAGAAAGAAAGAAAGAGAGAGAGAGAGAAGAAAAGAAAAGAAAAGAAAGAAAGAAATAGGGTTATTGCAGATGCTATTGATTAGGATGAAGTCATCCTGGAGTAGGGAGGGCCTAAGTCAATGACTGGTGTCCTTATAAAAGAGGAGAGGACACGCCGAGTCACAGAGACACAGGGAAGAAGGCCATGGATTGGATGGAAGATTGGACTGATGCGTATGCAAACCAAGAAACACTGAAGACTGCCAGGAGACCACAGGAAGCTAGGAAGAGGCAAGGCAGGACTCCCCGACAAGTGCAGGAGGGAGCGTGGCCCTGGTGGCACCTCCGTTTGAGACTGCTGGCCACCAGAGCCACAAGACAATCAATTTCTCTGGTTTCAAGTCACCCAGCTTTTGGTATTTGGTTGTGACAGCCCTAGGGAATGAATATAAGTACTTTCTCTTTTTTTTCTTTTTTTGAGATGGAGTCTCGCTCTGTTGCCCAGGCTGGAGTGCATGGCGAGATCTCGGCTCACTGCAGGCTCCGCCTCCTGGGTTCATGCCATTCTCCTGCCTCAGCCTCCTGAGTAGCTGGGACTACAGGCGCCGGCCACCACGCCCAGCTAATTTTTTGTATTTTTAGTAGAGACAAGATTTCACCGTGTTAGCCAGGATGGTCTCCATCTCCTGACCTCATGATCTGCCTGCCTCAGCCTCCCAAAGTGCTGGGATTACAGGCATGAGCCACCATGCCCGGCCGAATATAAGTACTTTTAAATTAACTCTCCTCTTCTCTCCATCTTCTTCTAAATCCTCATTTTTGCCTAAGCAACAGCTAGGTTCTAATACGGATGTGATGACTCACTTCAAAGTGGGGGAAGCCCCCATGTGCACCCAAAGCTCCTGCTGCCTTGGCCCTGGCTTCAGATACTGGACCATCATTGTGGAGGCTTGCTGGAGATCTGAGCCAGGACACCATTCTCTGTTGCCTTTAAACAAAGGCTGGTGCTCGCCCAGGCATGTAAGCTCCACCGAGGATCTATTTGGAAGGCAGAATTCTGAGATGACCCCTTAGGTTCTTGCCCTGGATAAATGCCAGGTGTAATCTCCTCTCCCCTGGAGTGTAGGCAGGACCCGTGGCTTGCTTCTAATCTATACCTATGAAAAAGATGAAGGGATTTTGCAGATGTAACTAAGCCCCTAATCCATTCACTTTGAGTTAATCAAAAGGGAGATTATTCAGGGTGGGCCTGACATCTTCAGGTGAGATCTTCAATGAAGGTCTGGAGGAGACAGACTCCTTCCTCCTGGTTTTTGGTTTTTGTTTGTTTATTTGTTTTTGACATGGAGTCTCACTCTGTTGCCCAGGCTGGAGTGCAGTGGCACGATCTCAGCTTACTGCAACCTCTGCCTCCTGGGTTCAAGTGATTCTCCTGCCTCAGCCTCCAAAGTAGCTGGGATTACAGGTGTGCTCCATCATGCCCGGCTAAGTTATGTAGAGACGGGGTTTCACCATATTGGCCAGGCTGGTCTCGAACTCCTGACATCAGGTGATCCACCGGCCTCGGCCTCCGAAAGTGCTGGGATTACAGGCGTGAGCCACCATGCTTGGCTGGTTTTGAAGAAGCCAGCCACATGAGTTCCACAGTTGCTTGGAAATAAATTCTGCCAACAACCATGTGAGGTTGGGAGAAGACCGTAAGCCTCATATAAGACACTAATTACAGCCGACACCTTGATCACAACCTTGTAAGTACCTGAGCAGAGGACCCAGCTGAAGCTGCACCCCCAGACTCCTGACCCACAGGAAAGGAGAGGTAATAGATGGGTGTTTTAAGCTGCTAAATTTGTATTGATTTGTTATGCAGCTTAGAAAATGAATACATCATTCCATTTTTAAAAAATCATAAGCTAATCACACCATTCGATTTCGTTTTTTCTTTTTTTTTTTTGAGACAGAGTCTCACTCTGTCGCCCAGGCTGGAGTGCAATGGCGCAATCTTGGCTCACTGTAACCTCTGCCTCCAAGGTTCAAGTGATTCCCTTGCCTCAGCCCCCCAAGTAGCTGGGACTACAGGCAAGCACAACCACACCCAGCTAATTTTTATATTTTTAGTAGAGATGGAGTTTCACCATTTTGGCCAGGCTAGTCTCGAACTCCTGACCTCAAGTGACCTTCCTGCCTCAGCCTCCCAAAGTGCTGGGGTTACTGACATGAGCCACTGCACCCGGCCTGACACACCATTCAACTTTAAGGAACTTCCAGGTGCTGTGGTCACGCCCCCCTTGTGTGGCATGCAGGTGGGGAGAGATGGGTTGGAAGATGACTGGATGGGGGCATGGAGCTAGGTGGGAAGAGGAAAAGTGTCTTGAAGGAAGTAATTCCCTTCAGATAAGGGAGGGAGAAGCTTGATCAATATGCAGACTTTCACAGTCCTTCAGTCCTGGGGATATTGGTGGAGAGACAGGTCTTGCCTTACATTTGAGAGTTACCATCCCAGGCAGAGGCCCTACTTCCACCTTCTTGCCGGTGGGGCTGGCGAGCAAATACTTAGAGGAGAAACGAACACCCTTTGTAAGCATGTGAAAAGTTTCTGGAGTAGAGAGATGATGAAGCAGGATATTTGGAGTCAACAGCCAAAGTTTTTATTTTATTTTTTATTTTCTATTGTACTTTAAGTTTTAGGGTACATGTGCACAACGTGCAGGTTTGTTACATATGTATACATGTGCCATGTTAGTGTGCTGTACCCATTAACTCGTCATTTAACATTAGGTATATCTCTTAATGCTATCCCTCCCCCCTCCCCCGACCCCACAACAGGCCCCAGTGTGTGATGTTCCCCTTCCTGTGTCCATATGTTCTCATTGTTTAATTCCTACCTATGAGTGAGAACATGTGGTGTTTGGTTTTTTGTCCTTGCAATAGTTTGCTGAGAATGATGGTTTCCAGCTTCATCCATGTCCCTACAAAGGACGTAAACTCATCATTTTTTATGGCTGCATAGTATTCCATGGTGTATATGTGCCACATTTTCTTAATCCAGTCTATCGTTGTTGGACATTTGGCTTGGTTCCAAGTCTTTGCTATTGTGAATAGTGCCATTATAAACATACGTGTGCATGTGTCTTTATAGCAGCATGATTTATAATCCTTTGGGTATATACCCAGTAATGGGATGGCTGGGTCAAATGGTATTTCTAGTTCTAGATCCCTGAGGAATTGACACACTGAATTCCACAATGGTTGAACTAGTTTACAGTCCAACCAACAGTGTAAAAGTGTTCCTATTTCTCCACATCCTCTCCAGCACCTGTTGTTTCCTGACTTGTTAATGATCGCCATTCTAACTGGTGTGAGATGGTATCTCATTGTTGTTTTGACTTGCATTTCTCTGGCCAGGGATGATGAGCATTTTTTTCACGTGTCTTTTGGCTGCATAAATGTCTTCTTTTGAGAAGTGTCTGTTCATATCCTTTGCCCACTTTTTGATGGGATTGTTTGTTTTTTTCTTGTAAATTTATTGGAGCTCATTGTAGATTCTTGATATTAGCCCTTTGTCAGATGAGTAGATTGCAAAAATTTTCTCCCATTCTGTAGGTTGCCTGTCCACTCTGATGGTAGTTTCTTTTGCTGTGCAGAAGCTCTTTAGTTTAATTAGATCCCATTTGTCAGTTTTGGCTTTTGTTGCCATTGCTTTTGGTGTTTTAGACATGAAGTCCTTGCCCATGCCTATGTCCTGAATGGTATTGCTGAGGTTTTCTTCTAGGGTTTTTATGGTTTTAGGTCTAACATTTAAGTCTTTAATCCATCTCGAATTAATTTTTGTATAAGGCGTAAGGAAGGGATCCAGTTTCAGCTTTCTCCATATGGCTAGCCAGTTTTCCCAGCACCATTTATTAAATAGGGAATCCTTTCCCCATTTCTTGCTTTTGTCAGGTTTGTCAAAGATCAGATGGTTGTAGATCTGTGGCATTATTTCTGAGGGCTCTGTTCTGTTCCATTGGTTAATATCTCTGTTTTTGTACCAGTACCATGCTGTTTTGATTACTGTAGCCTTGTAGCATAGTTTGAAGTCAGGTAGTGTGATGCCTCTAGCTTTGTTCTTTTGGCTTAGGATTGACTTGGCAATGTGGGCTCTTTTTTGGTTCCATATGAACTTTAAAGTAGTTTTTTCCAATTCTGTGAAGAAAGTCATTGGTAACTTGATGGGGATTGCATTGAATCTATAAATTACCTTGGGCAGTATGGCCATTTTCACGATATTGATTCTACCTACCCATGAGCATGGAATGTTCTTCCATTTGTTTGTGTCCTCTCTTATTTCGTTGAGCAGTGGTTTATAGTTCTCCTTGAAGAGGTCCTTCACATGCCTTGTAAGTTGGATTCCTAGGTATTTTATTCTCTTTGAAGCAATTGTGAATGGGAGTTCACTCATGATTTGGCTCTCTGTTTGTCTGTATTGGTGTATAAGAATGCTTGTGATTTTTGCACATTGATTTTGTATCCTGAGACTTTGCTGAAGTTGCCTATCAGCTTAAGGAGATTTTGGGCTGAGACAATCGGGTTTTCTAGATATACAATCATATCATCTGCAAACAGGGACAATTTGACTTCCTCTTTTCTTAATTGAATACCCTTTATTTCCTTCTCCTGCCTGATTGCCCTGGCCAGAACTTGCAACACTATGTTGAATAGGAGTGATGAGAGGGGGCATCCCTGTCTTGTGCCAGTTTTCAAAGGGAATGCTTCCATTTTTTGCCCATTCAGTATGATATTGGCTGTGGGTTTGTCATAGATAGCTCTTATTATTTTGAGATACGTCCCATCAATACTTAATTTATTGAGAGTTTTTAGCATGAAGGTTGTTGAATTTTGTCACACGTCTTTTCTGCATCTAATGAGATAATCGTATGGTTTTTGTCATTGGTTCTGTTTATATGCTGGATTATGTTTACTGATTTGAATATGTTGAACCAATCTTGCATCCCAGGGAGGAAGCCCACTTGATCATGGTGGATAAGTTTTTGATGTGCTGCTGGATTCGGTTTGACAGTATTTTATAGAGGATTTTTGCATTGATGTTCATCAGGGATATTGGTCTAAAATTCTCTTTTTTGGTTGTGTCTCTGCCGGGCTTTGGTATCAAGATGATGCTGGCCTCATAAAATGAGTTAGGTAGGATTCCCTCTTTTTCTATTATTTGGAATAGTTTCAGAAGGAATGGTACCAGCTCCTCCTTGTACCTCTGGTAGAATTCGGCTGTGAATCCGTCTGGTCCTGGACTTTTTTGGTTGGTAAGCTATTAATTATTGCCTCAATTTCAGAGCCTGTTATTGGTCTATTCAGAGATTCAACTTCTTCCTGGTTTAGCCTTGGGAGGGTGTACGTGTCGAGGAATTTATCCATTTCTTCTAGATTTTCTAGTTTATTTGCATAGAGGTGTTTATACTATTCTCTGATGATAGTTTGTATTTTTCTGGGATTGGTGGTGATATCCCCTTTATCAATTTTTATTGTATCTATTTGATTCTTCTCTCTTTTCTTCTTTATTAGTCTTGCTAGTGGTCTATCAATTTTGTTGATCTTTTCAAAAAACCAGCTCCTGGATTCATGGATTTTTTGAAGGGTTTTTTGTGTCTCTATTTCCTTCAGTTCTGCTCTGATCTTAGTTATTTCTTGCCTTCTGCTAGCTTTTGAATGTGTTTGCTCTTTGCTTCTCTTGTTCTTTTAATTGTGATGTTATAGTGTCAATTTTAGATCTTTCCTGTTTTCTCTTGTGGGCATTTAGTGCTATCAATTTCCCTCTACACACTGCTTTGAATGTGTCCGAGAGATTCTGGTATGTTGTGTCTTTGTTCTCGTTGGTTTCAAAGAACACCTTTATCTCTGCCTTTCATTTCATTATGTACCCAGTAGTCATTCAGGAGCAGGTTGTTCAGTTTTCATGTAGTTGAGGAGTTTTGAGTGAGTTTCTTAATCCTGAGTTCTAGTTTGATTGCACTGTGGTCTGAGAGACAGTTTGTTTTAATTTCTGTTGTTTTACATTTGCTGAAGAGTGCTTCACTTCCAAATATGTGGTCAATTTTGGAATAAGTGTGGTGTGGTGCTGAGAAGAATGTATATTCTGTTGATTTGGGGTGGAGAGTTCTGTAGATGTCTATTAGGTCCGCTTGGTGCAGAGCTGAGTTCAATTCCTGAATATCCTTGTTAACTTTCTGTCTCGTTGATCTGTCTAATGTTGACGGTGGGGTGTTAAAGTCTCCCATTATTATTGTGTGGGAGTCTAAGTCTCTTTGTAGGTCTCTAAGGACTTGCTTTTTGAATCTGGGTGCTCCTGTATTGGGTGCATATATATTTAGGATAGTTAGCTCTTCTTGTTGAATTGATCCCTTTACCATTATGCAATGGCCTTCTTTGTCTCTTTTGATCTTTGTTGGTTTAAAGTCTGTTTTATCAGAGACTAGGATTGCAACACCAGCCTTTTTTTTGTTTTCCATTTGCTTGGTAGATCTTCCTCCATCCCTTTATTTTGAGCCTATGTGTGTCTCTGCACATGAGATGGGTTTCCTGAATACAGCACACTGATGGGTCTTGACTCTTTATCCAATTTGCCAGTCTGTCTTTTAATCGGAGAATTTAGCCCATTGACATTTAAGGTTCATATAGTTATGTGTGAATTTGATCCTGTCATGATGTTAGCTGGTTATTTTGCTCATTAGTTGATGCAGTTTCTTCCTAGCCTTGATGGTCTTTACAATTTGGCATGTTTTTGCAGTGGCTGGTACTGATTGTTGCTTTCAATGTTTAGTGCTTCCTTCAGGAGCTCTTGTAGGGCAGGACTGGTGGTGACAAAATCTCTCAGCATTTGCTTGTCTGTAAAGTATTTTATTTCTCCTTTACTTATGAAGCTTAGTTTGGCTGGATTTGAAATTCTGAGTTGAAAATTTTTTTCTTTAATAATGTTGAATATTGGCCCCCACTCTCTTCTGGCTTGTAGAGTTTCTGCTGAGAGATCAGCTGTTAGTCTGATGGGCTTCCCTTTGAGGGTGACCTGACCTTTCTTTCTGGCTGCCCTTAACATTTTTTCCTTCATTTTAACTTTGGTGAATCTGCCAATTATGTGTCTTGGAGTTGCTCTTCTTGAGGAATATCTTTGTGGTGTTCTCTGTATTTCCTGAATTTGAATGTTGGCCTGCCTTGCTAGATTGGGGAAGTTCTCCTGCATAATATCCCGCAGAGTGTTTTCCAACTTGGTTCCATTCTCCCTGTCACTTTCAGGTACACCAATCAGACGTAGATTTGGTCTTTTCACATAGTCCCATATTTCTTGGAGGCTTTGTTCATTTCTTTTTATTCTTTTTTCTCTAAACTTCTCTTCTTGCTTCATTTCATTCATTTCATCTTCCATCACTGATACCCTTTCTTCCAGTTGATCGAATCGGCTACTGAGGCTTGTGCATTTGTCACGTAGTTCTTGTGCCTTGGTTTTCAGCTCCATTAGGTCCTTTAAGGACTTCTCTGCATTGGTTATTCTAGTTAGCCATTCATCTAATTTTTTCCCCAAGGTTTTTAACTTCTTTGCCATGGGTTCGAAATTCCTCCGTTAGCTTGGAGTAATTTAATCGTCTGAAGTCTTCTTCTCTCAACTCATCAAAGTCATTCTCTGTCCAGCTTTGTTCCATTGCTGGTGAGGAGCTGCATTCCTTTGGAGGAGGAGAGACACTCTGATTTTTAGAGTTTCCAGTTTTTCTGCTCTGTTTTTTCCCCATCTTTGTGGTTTTATCTACCTTTGGTCTTTGATGATGGTGACGTACAGATGGGGTTTTAGTGTGGATGTCTTTTCTGTTTGTTAGTTTTCCTTCTAAGAGTCAGGACCCTCAGCTGCAGGTGTGTTGGAGTTTGCCTAGGTGTCAGCAGTGGAGGCTGCAGAACAGCGGATATTGGTGAGCAGCAAATGTTGCTGCCTGATTGTTCATCTGGAAGTTTTGTCTCAGAGGAGTACCCGGCCATGTGAGGTGTCAGTCTGCCCCTATGGTGGGGTGCCTCCTGTTAGGCAACTCGGGGGTCAGGGACCCACTTGAGGAGGCAGTCTGTCCATTCTCAGATCTCCAGCTGCATTCTGGGAGAACCACTACTCTCTTCAAAGCTGTCAGACAGGGATATTTAAGTCTGCAGAGGATTCTGCTGCCTTTTGTTTACCAATGCCCTGCCCCCAGAGATGGAGCCTACAGAGGCAGGCAGGCCTCCTTGAGCTGTGGTGGGCTCCACCCAGTTGGAGCTTCCCAGCTGCTTTGTTTACCTACTGAAGCCTAGGCAATGGCGGGTGCCCCTCCCCCAGCCTTGCTGCCACCTTGCAGTTTGATCTCAGACTGCTGTGCTAGCAATGAGTGAGGCTCCATGGGTTTAGGACCCTCTGAGCCAGTCGCGGGATACAATCTCCTGGTGTGCTGTTTGCTAAGACTGTTGGAAAAGTGCAGTATTAGGGTGGGAGTGACCCAATTTTCCAGGTGCCATCTGTCACCCATTTCTTTGACTAGGGAAGGGAATTCTCTGACCCCTTGCACTTCCTGGGTGAGGCAATGCCTCGCCCTGCTTGGGCTCATGCTCGGTGCGCTGCACCAAGTGTCCTGCACCCACTTTCTGACACTCCCCAGTGAGATAAACCCAGTACCTCAGTTGGAAATGCAGAAATCACCTGTCTTCTGCGTCGCTCACGCCAGGAGTTGTAGACTGGAGCTGTTCCTGTTTGGCCATCTTGGCTCCACCCCCGCTATTATGATTCTTACACAGAGTCCTTTGCTTTCCAGCAGCCTCCTCTTTCTCCTTTTTGGGTTGGAATCCCTCTATTTTAGTGGCCACTGGGATTCTGAAATGACAAGTCTTTGTCTCAGAGACCTCACACATGCTCTTCCCTCTGCCTGGAACAGTTTTCCTTGCTCTGGTCCCCTGAGATCTCTTTCAGCTCAACTGCCCCATGCTCAGAGACCCCCTTTCTCCCTCTCTAGTTTGAAGCCAGTTTACCGCTGTAGTCTGTGCCTGGAATACTCGTTTTCCTCCTTGATGCCTGCTTAGTTGTCACGGGATGTATGTGCCTGTTTGGGTGTCTGGTGTCTGTCTCCCCGACTGGACTGCATGCTCCTGGTGAGCTGGAGGGACTGGACTAGCACAGGTCAAGGCCCTGGGGCTGGAGGGAGCAGGGCAGAAGGCACAGGCAAAAGGCCTTTGTGATCCGGAAGGAAGTGAAGGAGAGGGAGAGAGATGAGAGAGTCTGGCAGAAGATGGGCCAGGGGCCAGGCTGTGTGGGATCTTTTGGGCCACAGAAAGACATTTCAATTCTTATGTAAGAGAACCAGGACACCATTGGAGGGTATGAGTCACCTCATCTAACTGAGTGCAATGGCATGATCTCGGCTCACTTCAACTTCCACCTCCTGGGTTCAAGTGATTCTCCTGTATCAGACTCCCGAGCAGCTGTCGTTATAGGCATCTGCCACCACGCCCAGCTTATTTTTGTATGTTTAGGATAGACGATGTTTCACCATGTTGGCCAAGCTGGTCTTGAACTCCTGACCTCAGGTGATCCACCTGCCTCAGCCACCCAAAGTGCTGGGATTACAGGGGTGAGTCACCATGCTCGGCCTTATTTACTTTTTTAAAAAAGATCAGGCCAGTCACGGTAGCTCATGTCTCCAATCTCAGCACTTTGGGAGGCTGAGGTGGGATGCTCACTTGAGGCCAGGAGTTCAAAACCAGCCCAGGCAACATAGTGAGACACCCCCTGCCCCAATTTCTAAGAAAATGAGAAAATTAGGCATGGTAGGACTGCTTGAGACCAGGAGTTTGAGGCTCCACTGAGCTGTGATTATACCATTGAGCTATAGCCTGGGCAACAGAGTGAGACCCCGGAGCCGCCTCAGCCTCCCTAGAGCTGACCGAGCTTTTGCTTCTTATCACAGGGAATGACGGACGCTGGGGCTTTGATGGGCATCAGGTGAAATGGGCAGAGTGACGCTTACCTGGGATGGCAGTGAAGTGGGAAGGGGAGGTCATTGTGACAAGGGGCGGCATGAGGTACTTGGCCTTGACGCCCTCCCCGGCCAGACGGTCCAGGTTGGGGGTGTCCACATCCTGATCCTAGTCCCAGCGGAAGCCCTGGAAGGAGATCAGCAGCAGTTGTGAGTGCTCTTCTTCTCTGGGAGGAGGTGGCCGCCCAGCAGGACAGGCAGCGGCAGCAGCAGCTGGAGGGTGCCGAGCCATGTCATCCCACGAGCACCTGTCATGCACTCCTCACACAGTTCATGGGCTTCTCCCTCTTTAGTCCATTGTTGAACAAAGTCCACATTAATAATTCAGCCCAGCTCTGTTGTGGGACAAACAAACAAACTGGAGTGTAGCAAGGTGCTGCATATTTGCAGGACAGGATGAAAGCGTTCTGGAGATGGATGGGGGACATGGCTGTACAATGTGGTGGATGCACTTAACATCACTGAATTTTTCCTTTGAAAATGGCTAAAATAATAGATTTTGTGTGTATTTTACCACAATAAAAAATCAAACTGGCCGGGCATGGTGGCTTACACCTGTAATCCTGGCACTTTGGGAGGCCAAGGTGTGTATATCATTTGAGGTCAGGAGTTCAAGACCAGCCTGGCTAACATGGAGAAACCACATCTCTACTAAAAATGCAAAAATTAGCCAGGCGTGGCAGTACATGTCTGTAATCCCAGCTACTCGGGAGGCTGAGGCAGGAGAATTGCTTGAATCCGGGAGGCAGAGGTTGCAGTGAGCCGAGATTGCGCCACTGCATTCCAACCTGGACGATGGAACGAGACTTCATCTCCAAAAAAAAAAAAAAAAAAAAATCAAACCACATGAAATATTTTGGACTCTTATACTAATTCCAACATTTTGAAGATCTGAGGAGAACAAACTGGATTGGTGCTTTCCTTGGCTTAGTATGTTCTGTTTTTATAGGGAGAGCAAATTATTGTTCACCAGCACTATTAAAATAGCTACAACAGGATGGGCATGGTGGCTCACACCTGTAATCCCAGCACTTTGGGAAGCTGAGGTGGGAGGATCGCTTGAGTCCAGGAGTTCAAGATGCCAGCCTGGGCAACATGGTGAGACCCTGCCACTACCAAAAAATACAACAACAACAACAAAAATAGCTAGGTGTGGTTGTGTGCATCTGTAGTCCCAGCTACTTGAGAGGCTGAGGTGAGAGGATCACTTGTGCCCAGGAGGTTGAGGCTGCAGTAAGCCATGATTATGCCACTGTACTCAGCCTGGGTGACAGAGTGAGACCCTGTATGGAAAAAAAAATAAAAAGCTGCAGTGGACTCAGTGATCATGAGACCAGGCACTGTATACGTGTACATCATCTCATTTAATTTTTTCTCTTGTTTAAAATTATTTTTTCCTCTAATCCTCATGTTGATTGACATTTTTTTTAATCCTAGGAATTAGTTGAAAATTTTGCATAAGAATTAAAAATTGCCTGGCCTGATGGCTTACACCTGTTATCCCAGCACTTTGGGAGGCTGAGATGAGAGAATCAGTTGAAGCCAGGAGTTTGGGCCAGTCTGGGCAATATTGCGAGAATGCAACTCTATGAAAAAATTTAAAAAGCTGGGTGTGGTAGGGTTCACATGTAGTCCCAGCTACTTGGAAGACTAGGTATGAGGATTGCTTGAGCCCAGGCGGTAAAGGCAGCAGTGAGCTATGATTGTGCCATTGCACTGCAGCCTGGGTGACGGAGTGAGACTCTATCTCTCAAATAAATGGATAAAATTGTGGTATAATATATGCAACATTTACCATTCTGTGTATCTGAAAGTGTACAATTCAGTGACATTTTGTACATTTATCATGTTGTGCAATTATCACCACTACCTAGTTTCAGGGCTTTTTCAACACCTCAATTGGAAGCCTCATATCCATTCAGCAGTCACTCTGCATATCCCCTCCTGTAGCCCCTGGAAACCTCTCATCTACTTTCTATCTCTGTCGATTGGCTTAGTCTGAACATTGCATATAAATGGAATTGTACAATATATGACCTTTCATGTCTGCTTCTTTCACTGAGCATGTTTTTAACGTTCATCCATATCACAACATGGATAAGTTTTATTTTCTTTTTAGACCCTATCTAAAAAGAAAAAAAATTGTAAAACAAAAACAAAAACAAAAAAATATATAGGATGGAGATCAGATGAGTCCTGCAAAGTTTATAATATTTACTGTCTAGCACTTTACATAGAAGCTTGCCTACCTCTGAATGATATGCAGGTACAGAGATGACATTTATCTTGGCACTTATAGAAAGACCTATAAATTGTATAAAGACATCATCATTGGATTTCCAGTAACAAGAAGCGGCAAGACATGACGATGTGTCCAGGTGTTCAGGTGAAGTTTAGGGAAGGTCTTGTCTTGACGAGGTCGGATGTGAGACCCAGATGAGATAACCCCATTTCCCATGCTGAAATTGCCTGAGAATTTCATTCCAGTTATTTGCGTAGGTTGATTCTTTCGGTGGGGGTGGGGTGGGTGAGGAGGTGAAGTGTCAGGGGAGTTCTATTTTGTATTTGCACAACTTGGCTTTCTTTTTACTTGGTGTGGTGTTTTGCTGTATGAGGAATTTCATAGAATTTTATAATGAGTATGCAGCATAGTGGTTTGAATCCTGCCAGGCCGAGGGTCATATCTCAGCTCTGAAACTCATTATCTATGACGCCTTGGGGCAGGTCCCATAACTCTCCAAGCCTCTGTTCTATATTCCATGGGGTTGTGAGGTTCAGATGAAATAATGCATGCTGGCAGGAATGGTTACTGCTCATGGGATTTCCAGGTGTTCCCCGTATTCCCCAGACACCCTGTAGTTAGATGGATCCATGCCAGGGTCCAATGCTCTATAAGTGGAAGTCACTGACATCACCTCTAGTCTACAGCTTTTGAGGGCTTGGGAATAACTATCTCATTCTCTCATCTCCTGGTGCAGTAACTATGGGAGAATCCTTGCATTAAGATGGTAGAATTTCCATCATTCTAGGACTTTGAGTGGCCATATGGAGCACATCATACCCAGCCAACCCATTGTGGACATGGAATGTAAGAAATCAACCTTGGTTGCTAAGCTGCTGAGACTCTGGCGTTAATTTGTTACCGCAGCATAACCTAGTCCATCCTGATGCATGCAGCATGCAAACCACTTATGTTGACCCTTAGCCATGGTAAGTGCTCCACAGATGTTGGTTACTTTTGGTAGGAAGATAGATTGCCTCTGAAAGTTTTGTTAGCTGATCTCATGATGCCAATGTTGCTATTTTGTAATTGGATAAATTGGACTTGGCTCTCCTTCCGGCATGTGGGAGAGAAAGATGACTGAGAGACAATAAGGCACTATTATCTTCAGTTTGTGTCCTTGGATACCCTTGGTGGCAATGAACAATGCATGCCCCTCTGAGAAAACTGGACCTAAAGGAGAATGGGAGATGATACCAGAATTGGGAAAGTCCAAGGCCCCAGGCATTCCCTGGTCTGGAGACAACTTTGAGTCCTTGGTGGGAAGATTCTCCAAGGGAACATAAATGCTTCTACTATCTAGTTTGTCTCTTTGAGAATTAAAACTTTTTTTTTCATTCCAGTAGCTTTTGGGGTACAGTTCGGCTCTTTGAGAATTGCATACTAATTAATTTTAGGGGTCATCTGTACACATCTCTATATTCCTGAAACATGGTAGAAACAGCCAGCAGTCAGGCAACAATCTATCATGACCACTAAAATATCCCCAAAGTGAAACACCAGATGTGATCCACTGGGTTTAGTGGAGGTGGCTGGCTTGACAGTTGATTATATTTATTATTGTCACTGTGGTGATTATGGCCACAACATTGTGATGCGTGTTGGTCTTCTTTTGGTGAGTTGCAGTTTGGAAGGAATAAATCCATTTTTTTTTTTTTTTGAGTCTTGCTCTGTCACCCAGGCTGGAGTGCAGTGGTGCCATCTCAGCATGCTGTAAACTCTGCCTCCCAGGTGCAAGTGCTTCCCCTGCCTCTATGGCCAGGCTGGTCTTGAACTCCTGACCTCAGGTGATCCACCTGCCTCAGCCTCCCAAAGTGCTGGGATTACAGGCGTGAGCCACCATGCCCGGCCCCATTATTCATTTAACCAATATCTATTGAGCGCATTGGGTGTGGTGGAGGATGAACTGCAGGGGAGAGAGGAAGCCTCCTCCTGCCACTATGTTTTCAAGTTGTCCTAATACTCCACCATGACACTCAGGCTTATGGGTCCCAGAGCTCCAGAAGCATCTCCTGACCACAACATCCTGACCCAGATTCTACTGAAAAATACATGAGTCTAGCAGAGCCATCTCTGACACTTCCCTTCTTTTGAATGGCTGATCTGTCAGCCATGGGGAGCCCTTATGAAAGTGCAGTGTGTTTTGTGAAACTTGAGGTTGATCAAAGAATACCATTAAACTTTGTTAAGAAATCTACATATTGATGACATAGGCAGTGGGGTGGAGGTGGGGAAATTCCCAAATACATTTTAGGAATTATCTCAGGAGGTAAGAGTCAGAACTCTTGGTTGCCAGTGACAGAAACTCATCTTACTAGTGTGGAGTGGAAAAGGGATCATGTTTTTCTCTGCACTCCCCAACCCCAACCCCAAGCAGATCCTGAAAGAGGGACAGGATTGCAAGTGGATTATTTAGGAGATGATTCCAGGGAACACCAATAGGGGAGTGAGGAATTGATTCATGGAAAGGCAGGAGGCCACACAGGGGGCTTCAATGAGCAGCTTACCACTCCAGGCAACTAGGATTTGACCCCACTGGGGACCTCTGGGAGGTGATGTGGAATACATTTCAAAGTTGTTCCATCCAGGGGGCAAAGATATTGAAGCATTTATAGCCTGGCTCCCATCCATCACTTGCTGAGGACTGGTCCCAGGGCATCAACTCTCTGGCTTTGCTTTTTTCTTTTCTTTTTTTTTTTTTTTTGAGACATAGTCTTGCTCTGTCACCCAGGCTGGACTGCAATGGCATGATCTCAGCTCACTGCAACATCTGCCTCCCAGGTTCAAACGATTCTCTTGCTTCGGATTCCTGAGTAGCTGGGATTACAGGTGCCTGCCACCATGCCCCGCTAATTTTTTAATTTTTTGTAGAGACGGGGTTTTGCCATGTTGGTCAGGATGGTCTCGAACTCCTGACTTCGTGATCCACCTGCCTCGGCCTCCCAGTGTTGGGATTACAGGAGTGAGCCACTGCGCCTGGCTTCTGTGGCTTTTCTGACATACTCCATGCCTGACTTTGAGAAAGCCCTCAGGTGAAAGTCTTGGTTGTATGCAGTAGCAAGCATGTACTAGAATGATAAAAACCAAGGGGCTTACCACAAGATCTCTCTCTCTATCTCTGTCTCTAGCTTTGTCTGCATACTGGCTTAATTTCTTCTTACTCAAGCCTTTTCTCCATAAGGCGAGAAACGTGGCCACAAAAGCTCCTGTATTTCTCACTACACACAATTCCTGTCATCACAGAGAATGATTAACTTGGTCTAGTTCCAGTTTGGAAAAATATTCAAGGGAAGAATTCTGATTGGCCAATTTAGGCCAGATGCTCATCCCTGGACCAATCAACTGAGGCCAGAGGGGTGGAGTCATTTGAGAACATGGCAGCCCCCATGAGAGCCACATGAGTGGAGTAGGAAGTGTGAGTCTCTATAGAGGGGAGGGCTGCTAGGCTGAAAAGGCAATAGATGTCTGCAGTGAAAAGAATAGATCAGGAGATACATTCTGTTAAACCTGTTAATTATTTGAAAAAAAGAGAAACTTTCAATATACAGTCACAGTATACGTGAGCCGGCGGCTCACGCCTATAATCCCAGAACTTTGGGAGGCTGAGGTGGGCAGAGCAGAGATCAGGAGTTCGAGACCAACCTGACCAACATGGTGAAACCCCGTCTTGTGCGCCTGTAATCCCAGCTACTCAGGAGGTGGAGGCAGGAGAATCACTTGAACCAGGGAGGCGGAGGTTGCAGTGAGCTGAGATCATGCCCCTGCCCTCCAGCCTGGGCAACAGAGTGAGACTCCTTCTCAAAAAAAAAAAAAAGTTACATTGTGGTTCCCCCAGCATGATTTATCAGAAAGGAAAAATTTACAATATGCGTATTTCCTATGCACAGGCTACTGCTATGAATTGAAATTCTTAAATTCCAAAGATTAATTAAAATGTTTCTTAAGACACATAAACTGTTAGAATCTGCTTATAATGAGGCTGAAGTTGAGTAAGAAGAGAACTGGCATTTAGGACACTACTTTTCTTCTGTCGAGTACTTTCAAGTTTTGGTTCTGCCTGGAAGTAGATGCACCTCAAGGGAGGGTTGCATGTAAAGTGTGTGTGTGTGTGTGGTAGTTTCCAAAGATGGGTACAACTTTCTGCAAATGCTCGTGCAGTGTAATTGAACCAATCTTTCCTTTAAGAGGTAGAGTTTATACTCCTCTACATGAATCTGGGCTGCCTATGACTTGCTTTGGCCAGTGGAATGCTGCCAAAGTGATGGTGACCAACTTCTAGCCGTGAAAGGAAAATAAAGCTTGGGGCCCCAAGATCACTAAGCTAGGCTGGGCTCGGTGGCTCACGCCTGTAATCCCAGCACTTTGGGAAGCTGAGGCGGGCAGATCACCTGAGGTTAGGAGTTCAAGACCAGCCTGGCCAACATGACAAAACCCCGTCTCTACTAAAAAATATGAAAATTAGCCAGGCGTGGTGGCAGGTGCCTGTAATCCCAGCTACTTGGGAGGCTGAGGCAGGGAAATTGCTTGAACCCTGGAGTTGGAGGTTGCAGTGAGTCGAGATCGTACCACTGCACTCCAGCCTGGGCAACAGAGCGAGACTCTGTCCCTCCACCCAAAAAAAAGTTACTAAGCTAAAGAGAAAAGTCAAGCTGGGAACTGCTTAGGGGAAACCTGCCTCCCATTCTATTCAGTCACCCCTTTGTTCACTGAGATAAATATATATCTGATTGCCTCATTTGGAGAGGCTAATCAGGAACTCAAAAGAATGCAACTATTTGTCTCTTAACTACCTATGACCTGGAAGCCCCTTCCCCTTGTCTCACCTTCACCTTCACCTGGAGTTGTCCCGCCTTTCCAGACTGAACCAATGTACATCTTACACATATTGATTGATGTCTCATGTCTCTCTAAAATGTGTCAAACCAAGCTGTGTCCCTACCACCTTAAGCACATGTTGTCAGGACCTCCTGAGGCTGTGTCACAGGCATGCGTCCTCAACCTTGGCAAAACAAACTTTCTGAATTAACTGAGACCTCAGATTTTTGGGGTGCAAATAGTCTTAGGCCTTGAGAGCCCTCTCGTAGTTTCCATATTTTTGCCCTCTTGGATGCTGGCACCAAGCAAACCTTGGCTATCCTGCTTAAAGGGCCATTTGGAGAGGGGCTCTGGAGGGCGAGGGGCCACATGGAGGAAAACAAGTTTCCCCGGCTGACAACCAGCACCAACTGCCAGGCACGTGCATGAGGCCATCCTGGATGTTCCGCCCAGCTGGCCCTCCAGCTGCAGGTAGCCACACAAATGAGCCCAGGTTAAACCAGCCAGGAAGTCCCCATACAACTCACAGGTTCATGAGCAATAATGGCTTGTTGTGGTTTAAAGTTTCTAATTTTAGGTGCAATAGGTAACTGAAACAGCCCACAAGGGTGTGAGCCTGTGGAGGGTGCATTTCCCACCTGCTGAAGCTTCTCAATTCCCAGCATCCAATCCAGATAAGACTCTTGTTCTCAGTGTCCTTGATGGAAATGGCAATGAACTTTTTGCAGATTGGACCATCTCGGGAATCCCAAAGATCGGAAACTATTTTCTTTCTCAGAACCTTCCACACAGCATTGAGCCTTAGGAATTTCTAAGAAGGATCTGGAATGAAAAAAAATCTTTTGAAAAGGTATCTGTATAGCTTCAGTTTAGCAAGATTCATGGTGGGTATTAACACCACTAAGTGCTGGTGTTAAGCCAAACCATGTTTTTCAAAGACTCATCTGGCCTCAAGGTTGGCGGGATCAGAGTGGCCTCCCAGGATCTATCACATCCTCAGAAGAGTTGGTTCAACTGGCATGTACCCAGATCTCTTTGAGCTAGTATGATGCTCCCTTGAGTCAAAGGCTGCCACATCACATCTCCTTTAAGTCCCCCTAAGTACGACCCCAGAAGTATTGACAAAATAGTGCTATTCCTGAAGATTTCAGGAGGACATAAATGAAGAGACTAAACTGCAAGGTACCAAAACTTCCATCTTTGCTAAAGACCCTCATCCAGGCTGGGCACGGTGACTCACGCCTGTAATCCCAGCAATTTGGGGGGCCAAGGCGGGCAGTTCACCTGAGGTCGGGAGTTCAAGACCAGCCTGACCAACATGGAGAAAGCCCATCTCTACAAAAAATACACAATTAGCCGGGCATGGTGGCACATGCCTGTAATCCCAGCTACTAGGGAGGCTGAGGCAGGAGAATCGCTTGAACCTGGGAGTAGGTTGCGGTGAGCTGAGATCGTGCTATTGCATTCCAGCCTGGGCAACAAGAGTAAAACTCCATCTGAAAAACAAACAAAAAGTCCTTATCCAATGGTCATGCCACTCTATCTGGCCATGTAATTTCTCCTCCTGTCTTTCTGTAGCAACAGCCTTCTGAGGAACCTCACTCTGCCGTTCAAAACCCCTTCAACTTGTACCCTTCATCAGCAAAGTATTTAGCTCAACATGTATGCCTCTGGGGGAACTCATCCACATGCCATGTAAGGATATTTCCAGCAACATCATCTTCACTATCCCAGGACAGCATTTTAGAGTGGATTTCGTGCCTGCTGGATGTGTTGTACTTGAGCGAGTTAGAGAAAATGCCACACTTTGAGATGAATTAAGAGTCTGTTTATTTAGCCGGCGGCCAGGAAATGGCTAACGTTTAAAGTTCTCTCGGCCTCAAAGAAGGGGCTAGATTTTCTCTTATACTTTGGTTTAGAAAGGGGAGGGGGGTCTAGTTAAAACAATTGTACAGAAGTAGGCAAAAAAGTTAAAAGGATAAATTGTTACAGGAAAGTAAACAGTTCTAGGTCTAGGGGCTTTAAGACTATTACAAGGTGATAGACGCGGGGCTTTGGGCGTTATCAATTGGAGGAATTCCTGGGAACTGCGGATACTGCTCGCCACAGTATCTTATCAGTTAATTGCATTCTTAGATGTGCTGGGAGTCAGCTTGCACTAGTTAAGTCCTTGAGGAAGGGGCTGCCAGTGAAAGAGCCAAGATGGAGTCTGTCTGGCTCTCTTAGCTAAGGGAGAGTCAATTCAGGTGGAAATAAGGCTAGGTGATTAAAAGAAAGGGAGAGTCTAAGAACAGGGTTAGTAAAAACAAGGTTGGGCATTACATTCCTCACTCGTGTTTTTGGGGAATCAAATTGTTGATTCTTCAGTTATAACAAGGGGGTTATATTGAGTCTTAAGATACATAAGTTTGACAGAAGCTACGTGTTGTTTTACAAAATTAATAAACTAATTTAATATACAAGGTCCAAAAATTAGACTTAATAGTAGGATGGGGAGGGGGTCTGGCTAACTTAGTAATTAGAATAGTTAGCTCTGGGTTCTAGTTGAACATGCTTTGATACTAGGGGATGTTATTTTCTTGTTCTTGTTGGCTCTTATCTAGATTTTCTTGCCCTTTCTGGAGTGTATCTTTTATGACTAAGAATGGTGGAGGAACAGTTAAATCAACTTTGTCAGGGTGTTTCTGGAACATAGGGTTACTTAGATCAGTTAAAGGCCTGATTGGCTTGGGTGGGCTTTATGAGACTAGGGTTTTTTTGGATGGTGAACATAGTCTTAACATTAAATCCTGGGATATAAAATCTTAATCTTCATGACATGCCATGATACTATTGAGTTGAATTAAGGTCATGGACAGCTATAGTAAGAGGATTACAATTTTTCTAGTACATAATTTAGGATGAGAAGCACGACTTGTGGAAAGAGTTGAAGATCTGGTTGATCTTTTAGAGTAGGTGGCTAAAGTTACATATGTCTAATCAGGGCAGGAAAACTGATAAGTATCTTGACAGCTAACATCAGGGTGATTTCTAGGACAGAGGTAAAAGCCAATATTTTGGAGTCTTTTTTCTGCACTTTTGGAGCTCCCACACTTAGTTTGGCTCTTGGAGTGTCTGAATCTTGCTGCAAGGTCGACACTTCCTGCTCCTGGGACCGACAGATTGTGTTGCTTTTCGTGGGTATGGGCTGGCTTTGGGAATAGTACAAATAAATCAACTGCAAAGGAGACTTCCTTGGAGGTACTGGCCTTCTAAGTGGTGTTTGCAAATACATGTCCTGTTGTGAAAGAGGTGAGGAGAAAGGAGTAGGAAGGCACAGAGGATGTTACGGGCAAAAACAAATAAGTGAGGTAGTAAAAAGAATGAATCTAATGGCTTCACCTGACTTAGGTGCAGTTTTAAGGGCCTGACTTAGGCCTGGGGACTTATGTTTTTAGCTGGGCTCTGTTGGCCTTTTTGATGCGGGAGTGATGAATCTAAGCAGGAAGGCTGTCTACTTTCAGAGCCATTGGCGTCATGAGGATGACGGTGTGAGGTCTTTTCTAAGCAGGAGCGAGTCTTTCTTTTTGGAACTTTTAAACAAACACTAGGTCTCCTGGCTGGAACGAATGGCAGGACTTTGGTCAGGAATTGGATTGGGATGGGCTCCTCGAACAAGTGGCAGGATGATATCTTGTACCTGTTGGAGAGACTATAGGTACTGCAACAAATTAGTTTGCGATATTTCTGCTAATTTGGCATTTCTTAGCTTAGGCAAGATAGGCGGTGCCTTCTTATACATGATTTCAAAAGGTGAGAAATTTGCCGGGTAAGGGTGCACCTTACTTTAAGTAGGGCTAAAGGAAGGAGACTTACTTAATTTACACTATTTTTTTAAGATTAATTTTGTAGGAGTGTTTTTTAGGGTGTAGTTCATGCTTCCTACTTGCCTGAAGCTTTGGGGTTGATAGGCACAATGGAGCTTCTGTTGAATGTTTAATGCCTTACTGACTGACTGAGCTATAGGCGAGGTGAAGGCTGCTCTATTATCAGACTTTATGGCAGCAGACAGCCTATATTGAGGGATGATTTCATTGAGTAAAAACTTAACTACTGTGTTGGTGGTTTCGTTTTTGGTAGAAAATGCCTTAGTCTATCTGGAGAAGGTGTCTACTAGTACTAGAAGGTATTTGTACTTAGTCTGGTGTGGTTTTACTTCTGTAAAGTCAATTTCTTTTTTCTTGGTGAGTTTTTTCAGAGACAGTGGCCTGGGCTGGGTTTAGGACTTTGTTTGGCATTTATGTGGGCGCAGGTTGTGCACTGGAGAGCTGCTTAATCTGTTAGGCTTTGAAGATGGGGGATCTTAAAATGGCTCCGGAGGAGCTGAGGTAGCTTTGCTCTTCTTAAATGGGTGGTAGACTGTAGGTAACTGATTAAAGTTTCTTTAAGAGTTCAGGGTATGAAGATTCCAGAGTCAGGAAGAATCTACTAACTTTCCTGATTTTTATTGGCTCTGAGATCTGAAGCCAGTTTTTTTGTTGTTGAGTATACGGGATTGTCAGGCAGATCTGGCTGTGGAAAGGAGACTGTGGGCAGCAAGTTTAGAGGCGTGACTGAAAGTCTCGCTGCGACCTGAGCTGCTGAATCAGCTTTCTGTTTACTGTGGGCAATGGCTGTGTTTTCTTTTTGATGTCCTTTGCAGTGGATCACAGCTACCTGCTGAGGTGAGTAGCTTGCTTTCCTGGTAGATGGCTTTACGTACATGCACAGTAGCAAAGGTGTACTTGCTGTCACTGTAAATGTTAATACGTTTTTTCTACTTTATTGGAGAGCCTGAGTGAGGGCGATCAATTCAGCCTTTTGTGCGGAGGTGTTCGCTGGTAAAGCTTGAGCTTACAACACATCTGTCTCCGTGGTAACAGCTGCACTGGCTTTTCATACTTCCTGCTTGAGGAAGCTGCTACTGTCTGTGAACACGGAGGCATCTGCCTCTTCTAGGGGCACATCTTGAAGATCAGAGCAGCCAGTTTTGATAGTTTCTAACAGTTCTTGACAGTCATGAGCAGGAATAGTGCAGTCTGAGTCAGGAAGTAGTGTAGCTGGATTGAAACACTTTGAGGGAGAGAAAGTCAAACGAGGCTGATCTAACAGTAAACTTTGATACTGCAAGATGCGAGCATTTGACATCTATTTGCCAGAAGCATTTTGTAGTAAGGTCTTTATGGCATGAAGAGCTGTAAGGGTTAAATTTTGGCTTAGAGTTAACTTATCATCTTCTTGGGCCAGGCTTGCTATAGCCGCTAAGGCTCGCAGACAACTTGGCCATCTACAGGCCACAGGATCTAGCCTCTTAGATAGACCACTGGGCATCTTTAGGGTATTAGAGTCTGAGTAAGGCACGTCTTTAGCAACTCTTTGGCTTTTATGGAGACATTGGGGAGGGCTAAAGCAGGGGCTTCAGTTAATGCTAAATTAACGGGATATTTCATTCTGTACTTCTTGGATAGCTGCCACTAAGATTTTTGTTTGTCTTTTGAATGCTTTATCAGCAGCCTTTTCAGCTGCCTGTGTTGCTTGTTTTTGTTTTTTAAACTTTTGATGGTCAAAAACTTTTTGGGCTATTTCTGAAAGCTGACTGATATTTATTCTAGCAAAGCTTTCTAGTTTTTGGAGTTTCTTTTTAATATCCGGGGCTGCCTGAGCCACAAATGCTAAATTAAGAGCACGGCTATTTTCGGGAGCTGCCGGGTCAAAAGGGGTGTAAGTCTGATAAGCCTCCTGGAGGCGCTCTAAAAACGTTCTTGGTGACTTATCGGGCCTTTGGACAACTTCGGTCGTCTTAGACAAGTTTATGGGTTTCTGAGCGGCTCTTTTAATACTTGCGAGGAGATACCGGTGAAAATCGTCTAAAGCTCCCTTTCTACTTGAGGAATTTGGGTCCCAGTTAGGCTGGGTAGAGGGAAAGACCTCCTCAAGGAGGTCTCTAGCTTCTCCTTCCGGTCCACTGGCTGATGTGAGGAAGTACTTTTTGGCTTCTTTTCAGATACGTTCTTTCTTTTCAGAGGTGAAAAGGGTTAAAAGGAGCTGTTGGCAATCATCTTAGGTGGGTGAGTGAGTCCGGAGTACAGACTCTGTCAGAGAGGTCAAAGCCTGGGGCTTTTCAGAGAAGGGAGGATTATAAGTTTTCTAATTATATAAGTCAGAAGCAGAAAAAGGGACACAAACTAAGAAGGGTGCTGAGCGCTCGTCACCTGGAGGGACTTGTTCCTCTCTCAGTGGTAGTAGAGGGGCTACTTCTTCCTGCCTGCCACGGTCATGATTGAGAGGCAATGGGTGGCGAGCCTACAGGGGACGTCGTCGAGGAGACATGGGATAACTTTAAGGGAGCAGGCTGGTTGTAAGGCGGTGGGACTGGGTGAGGGAGACTCCCCCCTTCTTCAGAGGGAGGCAGTACAGGGGAAGCTGAACCGGCTGAGGGTGGAGGCGAAAACGCGGTCTGGCTTAGGAGGACCTTGGAGGTAGAATTATGAATGGCGCATGAATGGAGCCATGGAGGGGGGATCCTGACTAATCTTAGCTATTGATCAATGTAGGGAAACTGATCAGGGTGGCTAGGAGTTTCAGTAACAACCTGCCACACAGCTTGAACAATTGTGAGGTTCAATGACCCTTCAGGGGGCCACTTGACTTTAAACTTTGGCCATTTTATTTTGCACAGTGTCTGGAGCTTGCCTTTTTTAAGGCGGACTTTATAATCCTCTGAGGAACTGAGAGGAAAATTCTGCAGCATACATTGGAGAGGGCTTTAACTTTATAAGGCTGGGAGGAAGTGTTTCTTATTTTTTTTTTGAAGGCAATTTAATAAGATTTGAGCATAGACTTAGCATGGACAGAGAAACTTATTTCTTGGGGGACTAGAGTAGTGAAAGAACAGAAGCAACATGACTAGAAAGAGCAGAAAAACTACAACAGCTAATACTACTTGCTACATTACTGTAGCTTTAAGATTGAGGGAGGAGGACTAGAGCCAGCCTGAGATCTTCTGGGTCAGTTTGATCTAGGCGTTCTTCTTCTTCTTCTTCTAGATCTGCACTTTAAGTACTTTTGGTGTCTTTATGACTTAAAGGCAAATAGCTTAAACTTAGCTTTTTCTTTTAAGGGTTTAAGGAGTGAGAGCAGAGCCAAGTCCTAGAGACGCTGAACTTGCTGTCGCACCAGAAAACGAGATGTGCGGGGTAGGGGACAGGGACGAGGTGGAAAAGGACTACTCGGATCATTTTTAAGGTGGGAGAGTAGCCACAGAGGAACAGAGTAAGAATCTAAACAAAGTAAAGCAGTACGGGTGTACGTTTCTTTACACAGTGTTCTACTTAAGGACACAGGAAAAGTTACAGAATGATAAAAGAGGTGAGCAAGGAAATCTGCAGGGTGGCTGTTTTGAACTCACTACTGGTTTAGTTTAGAGGAGGTCTAATCACTTGGACGTGGAGTATGACGATCTAAATACTTAGAACTTTCATGGTGCTAGAAATCTTAATCAGGAAAATGTTTTTCACACTTGTTCTTGTAACAACACTTGACTTGGTTCTGGCAGAAAAGACAGGACTGTGGTGGCCAGCCTAAATGATTGATGAGAAATTTAACCTCCTGTGACAAAAAATCAGCACTAAGGACTTTGAAGAAGTTTTTACTTAGACGTCTTGGGCAATATCACCGTCCTGACATGCAAAACTTTCACAACTACTAACAAGACAATAGAAACTGAACAGAACAATCAACATAAGGCAAACAATTGACTTTACAGCATGTAAACAGTTATGACAGTTTCTTCCTTTTTTTTTTTTTTTTTTTTTAGACAGACAAGGGGAGTGGTTCCTGTGATGGGATCAGTCAGATGCCTGCCTGGCCGCTCCCCCTGAGGGGACTTGGGCTCCTCTTAGCATTGGCAGGCCGGTATAAACTTCCGGCTCAGATCGAGCTATGCCTGATGCTGCCTTAAGCCTTATGAGGTCGCCAAGGAACCGCAGGTGAGGGTCTACTTGAACTCCGTAGCTTTCGCCGTGGAGCTACAAACTGGAGGACAAGCGCAAGCCCTTGTCCTCCCTCATTCATTCATTATTCACAAAGAGTTTATAACAGTTTTTTTTTCTTTCTTGGAGATTCTTCAAGAAACTGGAACAAGAGAAAGATGAGAGATAGAAAAAGAGAGAGAGAGAGAGAGAGTGATCGGTCTGCCAGAAACCAGGACTCAGTCCTCCAGCATCCTGGGATGTGGACTGAGTCAAGAGAGGGCCCCTGTCAGGGCCACTTCCCTCCTAGAAAGAGACACAGAGGTGCCTAACAGAAAAACAGGGCTCTACCTTCTAGCGTCCTAGAGAAACGGGCAGAGTCAAAAGAGGGATGCCCTCATCAGGGCCGCTTCCCTCTTACTAGAACTGAAATCAAATCTGACCTACCTGACCTCGGGGTCAGAAGTTGAGGACTCAGAGGTGGAATTTTTGTGGGCATCCACACGGTAGTCGATCCGCTCTCCTCTGGAAGACGGTCACCTTTTGGGGACCTGAAAATTATTTTTCAGGTGGCACCCCCCCTACAAGCCGGCTGTCCTTCCGGGGGAGCCCGGAGCGAGCCCGGCTCTCGCCTGGTGGCGTTTCTCGCTCGGGCCTCCAAATGTTGTACTTGAGCGAGTTAGAGAAAATGCCACACTTTGACATGAATTAAGTCTGTTTATTTAGCTGGCAGCCAAGAGATGGCTAACTTAAAGTTCTCTTGGCCCCGAAGAAGGGGCTAGATTTTCTTTTATACTTCAGTTTAGAAAGGGGAAAGGGGTCTAGTTAAAAGAATTTTACAGAAGTAAAGTCGGCAAAAAAGTTAAAAGGATAAATTGTTACAGGAAAGTAAACAGTTCTAGGTCAAGGGCTTTAAGACTATTACAAAGTGATAGACGTGGGGCTTTAGGCATTATCAATCGGACAAATTCCTAGGAACTGCGGATATTGCTCGCCACAGTATCTTATCAGTTAATTGCACTCTTAGAGGTGCTAAGAGTCAGCTTGCACAAGTTAAGTCCTTGAGGAAGGGGCTGCCAGTGAAAAAGCCAAGATAAAGTCTGTCTAGCTCTCTTAGCTAAAAGAAAGTCAATTCAGGTAGAAACAAGGCTAAGTGATTAAAAGAAAAGGAAAGTCTAAGAACAAAGTTAATAAAAACAAGGTTAGGCATTACAGATGGGGTTATCCTTATATTCAGCACAGTGTTTGTTCTGAAACTTCGATGGAGTGCTCCTAGTTTGATAACTTGGACCATGCCAAATAAATTGAATTTATCTTTCTTAACAACAGATGTTTGAATACAGCCTCGTGTCCCTCTCTGCTCCTTCCTGCCTTCCTCCTCTCCTCTTCCTTCCCTTCCTTTTCAAAAGCAGGGTTTGCAAGCTTTTACTTCAAAGCATCAGATAGTAAATATTTTAGAATTCGTGGGCCATACAGTCTCTTGTAGCAGTTAATCAACTCTGCCACCCATAGCATGAAAGCAGCTGATATAGGTTGAATATGTGTCCCCGCCCAAATCTCATGTTGCAATGTAATCCCCAGTGTTAGAGGTGGGGCCTGGTGGGAAGAGATTGGATCATGGGGGTGGATTTCTCATGAATGATTTACCATCATCCCTTTGGTCCTGTCCTTGCAATAGTGAGTGAGTTCTTGCAAGATCTGGTTGTTTACGAGTGTGTAGCACCTCCCTCCTTACTCTCTTGCTCCCACTTCACCTTCTGCCATCATTGTAAGTTTCCTGAGGCCTCCACAGAAGCTCAGCAGATGTCAGTGTCATGCTCCCTGTACAGCCTACAAAACTGTGAGCCAATTAAAACTCTTTTCTTTATACATTACCCAGTCTCAGGTATTTCTTTATAGCATGAGAGAACAACCTAATCCAGCAGCCATAGACAATATGTAGCAAATGGTCATGGCTGTGTTTCAATAAAACTTTATTGACAAAAACATGTGCAGGCAGGTCAGATTTGGACCATGGGCCATAGTGTCCCAACCTCTGCTCTGGAATATTCTCTTTAGCCTGGATGGACATCTCTAGGTTGGTTTTTTTTTTTTTTTTTTTTTTGAGACAAAGTCTCACTGTTGCTCAGGCTGGAGTGCAGTGGTGCAATCTTTGCTCACCACAACCTCTGCCTCCTGGGTTCAAGCAATTCTCCTGCCTCAGCCTCCCAAGTAGCTGGGATTACAGGCACCTGCCACCACACCTGGCTAATTTTTCTATTTTTTAATAGAAATAGGCTTTCACCATGTTGGCCAGGCTGGTCTCAAACTCCTGACATCAGGTGATCCACCCACCTTAGCCTCCCAAAATGCTGGGATTACAGGTGCCCGCCACCACATCTGGCTAATTTTTTTGTATTTTTAGTAGAGATGTGATTTCACTATGTTGCCCAGGCTGGTCTCGAACTCCTGATCTCAAGTGATCCACCTGCCTCAGCCTCCAAAGTTCTGGGATTACAGGTGTGAGCCACTGCAGCTGGCCTCTAGATTTTTTTTTTTTTTTTTGACCATTGATTATTTGGTTTGACTTTCATTTTCTTCCCCATTGTGGTAGTCATTTTCTGAATGCCTGTTTGTTTGTCCATCTCTTTCCTCTGTAGTCCCTAGAGTCAGATGAACTCCTCTGCAGGTGCAATGGTGTAACACAGTCTAGTGCTGAATTTTGAGCAGGAGAAAGAGAGCAAGAGTGACCAGTACCCTTGGAAACTCTGGCCTCCTGAGAATTTGGTGTCTTCTCTGCAAAGGTTGCAAACCTGTTAACCCACAGGCCGGAGAGAGAGACAAGCCAGAATCATGATCTGTTAAGCTTGAGTTTAATATTTGATGCACAGAGATCACTGAGTTTTTTGATAAGAATTAGAGGGGGAAGAAATGGCCACAGAGATCACTTTCTATCTCCAGGTGAGGATTCAGGAGATAATTCTGCGAACAGAAATTCCTGAGAACTGAGATGGGGGAAATCGCTGGTATTAGAAGGGTGAAAAGGTCAGTAATTAAGGCTACGACTGTGCTCTTAGAGGCAAAAGAAGAAAATGAGACTGCCAGGCATGAATAATGAGAAATCTTTGATGGAATTAGCCATGCAGAACAGATACTAAATGCATCCTCATTCTTCTCATAGTCAAAAGTTTTTGCTTAAGCTGGATGGGAAAAAGAGAATCCCATTTCACTAAGTATAAAAGAGGGGATTTTAGAGAAGGTCTCAGAAGAAAGAGATGTGGCGGTTTGGTGAAACTCACCAGAGGCTGAACCCTCTCCAGCATAACACAGGGATTGGGAGGAGCGGGGAAGCATTAGGCCAGGTGCATAGCCCAGTGCTGCTCTCTCTGGACTTTCTGCTCTCTCTGGACTTGTTTGCTAGCTGAGCTCATCCATTTGCATAATTTTCAGTGCCATTTCTCAGCTGATGAGTCCTGAACTTTTGTCTTGAGGCTAGACTTCTCCTTCAAACAGCAGTCTTAAACACTCAACTTCTTTCTTGTTTTTTCCACTTGTCAACTCATGAACAACTCAACCTTGTTAAATCCAAAGCCAAACTCATGGCTTGGAGTGGTAGGTGATGGCTGTAATCCCAGTGCTATGGGAGGCTGAGGTGGGAGGATTACTTGACGTCAGGAGTTTGAAGCCAGCCTGGAAAACACAGTGAGACTCCCTATCTCCAAAAAAAAAAAAAAAAAAAAAAAGGCTAGGCATGGTAAAGTGCATCTGTAGGATCTGTAGTCCTGTTACATGGCAGGCTGAGGCAGGAGGATCACTTGAGCCCAGGAGTTTGAGGCTGCAAAGAGCTATGATTGCACCAATGCACTCCAGCCTGGGTGACAGAGCCAGAGTCCCTGTCTTAAAAAAAAAAACAAAAGCAAAACTCTTTTTCCTCCTCCTTCTCCATGGGCTCTGTCCATGCCATCTCTGTTCTGTAAATGGCACCATCCCCTGCTGAGCTGCTCAAGGTGGTCATAACTCATGTGTTGTGGTAACTCTGCTTTTGCCCTCTTCTCCAGTCAGAAGTCCTGTGATTCTAAACTTTATCCAACTTGTCCACTCTCTCTATCTTAACTGTCATTATCTTTGCCTAGGACACTGCTATCCCAGCTGGGCTACAGCAGCAGCCTCCTAACTGGTCTTAACTGGTCCTCTGCACCTGCTCTCCATGCTCAGCAATCCATTTCCTACCTAGCAGCTTCAGTGATCTTAAGGTGTCCATTGAGTCTCATCCCTGCCTTTCCTGCCCATGGCACATAGAGTCTTCTGCCTGTTCCTGCCACCTCTCCAGCTCTCTCCTATCTCCTCCCCTTGGCCTACTCTATTTCAGCCACTCTGGCCTCCTTTTGTTTTCTTCGATTTTCAAACCTCTCTCCACGACAGGGCCTTTGCACTTGCTGCTTCAGCCTGGAATGATTTTCCTCTGCACCTCCCCAAATTAGACCATCCTTTAGGTCTCAGCTAAAATGATGCTTCCAGACAGCTCTTTCCTGACCCCTTTATAAAGTGGACTTCCCTGCTCTTCTCCACCTTAACCTCATTATTTCTTGTTGCGGGAACTCAGGGACCCCAAATGGAGGGACTGGCTGAAGCCATGGCAGAGGAACATAAATTGTGAAGATTTCGTGGATATTTATCAGTTCCCAAATAATACTTTTATACTTTCTTATGCCTGTCTTTATTTTAATCTCTTAATCCTGTTATATTCATAAGCTGAGGATGTACATCACCTCAGGACCACTGTGATAATTGTGTTAACTGTACAAATTGATTGTAAAACGTGTGTTTCAACAATATGAAATCAGTGCACCTTGAAAAAGAAGAGAATAACAGCAATTTTTAGGGAACAAGGGAAGACAACCATAAGGTCTAACTTCCTGCAGGGTTGGGCAAAAAGAGCCATATGTTTCTTCTTGCATGGAGTCTATAAATGGACGTGCAAGTAGGACAGACATTGCTAAATTCTTTTCCTAGCAAGGAATATTAATATTAATACCCTGGGAAAGGAATGCATTCCTGGGGGGAGGTCTATCAATGGCTGCTCTGGGAATGTCTGTCTTATGCAGTTGAGATAAGGACTGAGATACGCCCTGGTCTCCTGCAGTACCCAAAGGCTTACTAGGGTGGGGAAAAACTCTGCCCTGGTAAATTTGTGGTCAGACTGGTTCTCTGCTCTCAAACCCTGTTTTCTGTTGTTTAAGATGTTTATTAAGACAATACATGCACCACTGAACATAGACCCTTATTGGTGGTTCTGCATTTGCCCTTTGCTTTGTGATCTTTGCTGGACCTTTATCAGTAGTTCTGCTTTTGCCCTTTGTCCTGTTCCCTCAGAAGCATGTGATCTTTCTTAGACCCTTAGTAGTAGTTCTGCTTTTTGCCCTTTGAAGCATATGATCTTTGTACCTACTCCCTGTTCTTACAGCCCCTCCCATTTTGAAACCCTTAATAAAAACTTGCTGGTCTGAGACTCAGCAGGCATCACGGACTTACTGATATGTAGTGTCACCCTCAGCGGCCCAGCTGTAAAATTCCTCTCTTTGTAGTGTCTCTCTTTATTTCTCAGCTGGCTGACACTTAAGGAAAATAGAAAGAACCTATGTTGAAATATTGGGGGCAGGTTCCATCAATAGTTCTTTCATGGATTTACTTATTTTTTGTCTCCCTCCATACCCTAGAAACTCCTGGAGGGCAGAGCTGTGTCTGCCATCTTCATCATTGCATTACCACCACCCAGCACAGTGCCTGGCACAAAAGAGTTGCTCAATAAATAAATCCGGATGAATGGATAAATACATGGATAGGCACTTTGAACTACAGATGAGTTTAAATACTTTGTGTTTTTCTTAGTCAAACATGTGCAATTAAGCATGTGATAAATGATATGATGACCACACCTGTGTCTTGCCTGATGTTCTTTGCAATCACTAAATGAAGTCAATTGTGCCTGTTTTGACAGTTCTGTTTTCAACCTAATGATCTGTTTCTTTTAACTTCTGGCTGTTGGCTTTCTTTGGGTTTGTTAGCCTGACAAAGTGGCAGATATTGGTATTTGCTCTTTTGTTTAAATGTCATGAACTTTAAAAATGCCTTTGCTTTTGGTAAGAAACCCTAGTTAGGACAGTCTAGCGGTCAGGATGATTTGGGTTCTGGTGCAGTAACAACAATCCCCAAATCTCAGTGGATCCATGCAGTGAGGTATTTGTTTGTTTGTTTGTTTGTTTTTTGAGACAGGGTCTCACTCTGTCACCCAGACTAGAGTGCAATGGTGCAACCTCAGCTCACTGCAACCTCTGCCTCCCAGACTCAAGCGATTCTCCTGCCTCCTGAGTAGCTGGGATTACAGGCCTGTGCCACTACTGTCTCGCTAATTTTTGTACTTTAGTAGAGACAGGATATCACCATGTTAGCCAGGCTGATCTTGAACTCCTGACCTCAAATGATCCACCCGCCTTGGCCTCCCAAAGTGCTGGGATGACAGGCATGAGCCACCATGCCTGGCCACAGTGAGGCTTATTCTTGGTCACGTTGCATGTCTGGGCTGTGTTAGGGCATTGTGGAGTGTTCTGTTCATTGTGTTCACTCAGGGATCCAGGCTGACAAAAGCCCCATCTCTGCATGTGTCCTTGATCTCCACTTCAGGGGAAAGGGAATGTGGTGGATCACACAGCCTCTTAACACTTCCACCTGGAGGTGACTCAAGTTGCTCTTGCTCATGGTTCATTGGACAAAACAGATCACAGAGACATGGACAACTTCTCTGTGCCTGGAAGGGGAATCAAAATATGAATAGCTACATTGATTTTCCCTAGCTATTACACAGAAGGCCTCATTTAAACACAGTTACTTATTTGTGTTTTGAAGCTAATTGTTGTCCATCAAACTTCACAGAAGATATGTGCACTTCCAAGTTATTATTAAGCACAATTTTTTTTTTTTTTTTTTTTGAGACAGAGTCTCACTCTCTTGCCCAGGCTGGAGTGCAGTGGCATGATCATGGATCACTGCAACTTATGCCTCCTGGATTCAAGTGATTTTCATGCCTCAGCCTCCCAAAGTGCTGTGACTACAGACACCCACCACTGTGCCTGGCTAAGTTTTGTATTTTTAATAGAGATGGGGTTTCACCATGTTGGCCTGGCTGGTCTGGAACTCCTGACCTCAGGTGACCCACCTGCCTTGGCCTCCCAAAGTGCTGAGATGACAGGCGTGAGCTGCCACGCCCATCCTTGAGTATGATTTTTGATTGGGAAGATCAGGGTTAGGGTTTTAGTCTGAGGACAGTATGATGTGAAGGTGAAAAGCAGAGCTTGGCTGTGAGTTTGCTGGGATGCCTGTGCTGCTTCTACAGTTCTTTGGCTGTGTGACCGTCACCTTTGGCAAGTTCCTTTATGTTTATATGTGTTGGTTTCCTCATCAATAAAATGGAAAAACTAATAATCGTAATATCTATTGGTTTTGGGATAGCCCAGTGGTTGACACATAAAGACTCAAAAATAGTTTTGTTTTTTTTTTTTTTTTTTTGAAACAGAGTCTTGCTCTGTTGCCAGGCTGGAGTGCAGTGGTGCAATCTCAGCTCACTGCAAAGTCTGCCTCCTGGGTTCAAGCTATTCTCCTGCCTCAGCCTCCCGAGTAGCTGGGATTACAGACGCCTGCCACCACTCGCAGCTAATTTTTGTATTTTTAGTAGAGACGGGGTTTCACCATGTTGTCCAGGATGCTCTCGATCTCTTGACCTCATGATCCGCCCACCTCAGCCTCCCAAAGTGTTGGGATTACAGGCATGAACTACCGTGCCTGGCTCAAAAATACTATTATTAATTTTGGGGGGTAGTTACTATATTTTGTGAAAATCAGAGTTCAGTACCTTGTAACACTGGGTTGGGATCTATCCCTGAAGGAACAGGCTTCCAAAGAGGAAGGCATGGAGAGAGGGGCAAAATTTCAGTGTATGTTGTAATGACTTTAGGTATATGGACCTGGGGCTAAGTTCTAGCTGGGGCCACCAGGTGGCAAGGTGGACTTTGCTAAATTCTATCACTTTCCTGGGCCTGAGACTCACTTGTTACAAATGGGGTTAAAGCATCCCTCTTTCAGGGCTAAGATAAAGATGATTAAGTAAGAGGGAATGAAAGTAACTTCCATCAACTGTCAAAAGTATTCGTTTAAATTTTTTTTTTTTTTGAGATGGAGTCTCTCTCTGTTGCCCAGGTTGGAGCGCAGTGGCATGGTCCCGGGTCACTGCAACCTCCACCTCCTGGGTTCAAGTGATTCTCCTGCCTCAGCCTCCTGAGTAGCTGGGACTTCAGGTGCATGCCACCACGCCTGGCTAATTTTTATATTTTTAGTAGAGACGGGGTTTCACCATGTTGGCCAGGATGGTCTCCATCTCTTGCCCTTGTGATCCACCCACCTTAGCCTCCCAAAGTGTTGGGATTACAGGCATGAGCCACCACGTCCGGCCCATTTAACTTCTATATTACTTTCCTATTGGTGGATTTACCAGTGCAAACTGAGCAGCTTAAAACACCACCCAGTTATTATCTGTTTTCATGAGCCAAGGGTCTGGGCAGGGTTTAACTGGGTCTTCTATTCAGGGTCACAATACGGCAACCAGAGTGTCAGTTGGAGCTGGGGTCTCATCGGATGCTCAGTGTCTTCTTCCAAGCTTATTCAGTCTGTGAACTGAATTCGATTACTTACAATTGTTGAATGAAGGCCCTCAACTCCTAGAGCTGCCACCTCCAAAGACAGCTCACAGCATGGCCATTTGTGTCTCCTTGGAGGCTAAGGGTTCAATCTCTGAAACTTCACCTTTAAAAGATTCACCTGATTAGGTCTGGCCCACCTAAGATCATCCTGCTTTGGATGAACTCAAAGTCAGCTGAGCAAATGTGCTTAACAAAGCAAGTGTGACCATAATCACATTTGCAAAATTCCTTCCTCTTGGTCAAATCACAAGCTCTGCACACACTCAAGAAGAGGAGATGATACAGGGAGCAGATATAAGGGAGTGGGTCTCTTGGGGGCTGTCCTAGAACTCTGCCCGTTACAACTTCCTTTCTCGAGGAACAGCAGGCCTGGGGAGAGATGATCACAGATGAGCGCAGCCCACAGGTGGTGAGTGCCTGGTGCTGGGGTAGGATGCAGGAGGCTGTGAAGCAAGTATGAAAAGCCTTCTCTGGGCTGGGTGCAGTGGCTCGCGCCTGTAATCCCAGCACTTTGGGAGGCCGAGGTGGGTGGATCAGGAGGTCAAGAGATCGAGACTATCCTGGCCAACCAACATGGTGAAACCCCGTCTCTACTAAAAATAAAAAAATTAGCTGGGCATGGTGGTGCATGTCTCTAACAACCCAGCTCCTCAAGTGAGCAATTCCTGTCCCTTTTAAGGGCTCACAACTCTAAGGGGGTCTACATGAGGGGGTCTTGATCTATTGACCAAGCAGGGAGTACGTGACTGGGGGCTGCATTCAGCAAACCCCATGTCTACTAAAAATACCAAAATTCAGCAAAGTTTCAGGATACAAAATCAATGTGCAAAAATCACAAGCATTCTTATACACCAATAACAGACAAACAGAGAGCCAAATCATGAGTGAACTCCCATTCGCAATTGCTTCAAAGAGAATAAAATACCGAGGAATCTAACTTACAAGGGACATGAAGGACGTCTTCAAGGAGAACTACAAACTACTGCTCAATGAAATAAAAGAGGATACAAACAAATGGAAGAACATTCCATGCTCATGGCTAGGAGGAATCAATATCATGATAATGGCCATGCTGCCCAAGGTAATTTATAGATTCAATGCCATCCCCATCAAGTTACCAATGACTTTCTTCACAGAATTGGAAAAAACTACTTTAAAGTTCATATGGAACCAAAAAAGAGCCCACATTGCCAAGTCAATCCTAAGCCAAAAGAACAAAGCTAGAGGCATCACACTACCTGACTTCAAACTATACTACAAGGCTACAGTAACCAAAACAGCATGGTACTGGTACAAAAACAGAGATACAGACTAATGGAACAGAACAGAGCCCTCAGAAGTAATGCCACACATCTACAACTGTCTGATCTTTGACAAACCTGACAAAAACAAGCAATGGGGAAAGGATTCCCTATTTAATAAATGGTGCTGGGAAAACTGGCTAGCCATATGGAGAAAGCTGAAACTGGATCCCTTCCTTACACCTTATACAAAAATTAATTCAAGATGGATTAAAGACTTAAATGTTAGACCTAAAACCATAAAAACCCTAGAAGAAAACCTCAGCAATACCATTCAGGACATAGGCATGGGCAAGGACTTCATGTCTAAAACACCAAAAGCAATGGCAACAAAAGCCAAAATTGACAAATGGGATCTAATTAAACTAAAGAGCTTCTGCACAGCAAAAGAAACTACCATCAGAGTGAACAGGTAACCTACAGAATGGGAGAAAATTTTTGCAATCTACTCGTCTGACAAAGGGACCTACGACTTTCTTATAACCAAGAGAATATGGCAGAGGTGATGGGATGTAGTGATTATGTTAGATAGGATGTTAAGTTGTCTGGCTAGGAGGCTGTCTGTCTCGCTGGCTTTGAAGATGTGAGCTGCCATGTCATGAGCGGCCAGATGGAGAGGCCCATTTGGCAAAAAGCTGAGGGCATCAACAAACTGGGGCCCTGAGTCCAGCAGCCTGCAAGGAACTGAATGCTGCCAACAACCAGATGAGCCTGGAAGCAGATCAATCACCAGTCAAGCCTCCAGATGAGAACTGAGCCCTGGCTGACACTATGGTTGCAGCCTTGCACTGAACCCAGCTGAGTCACGCCTGGATTCCTGACCCACAGAAACCATGCAGTGATAACTGTCTGCTGTCTCAAGCCACAAAGTTTGCAGTAATATTGTTGCACAGCAATAGATAACTAATATAAAAACTGTCCTGGCCGGGCGCGGTGGCTCACGCCTGTAATCCCAGCACTTTGGGAGGCCGAGGCGGGCGGATCACGAGGTCGGGAGATCGAGACCATCCCGGCTAAAACGGTGAAACCCCGTCTCTACTAAAAATACAAAAAAATTAGCCGGGCGTAGTGGCGGGCGCCTGTAGTCCCAGCTACTTGGGAGGCTGAGGCAGGAGAATGGCGTGAACCCGGGAGGCGGAGCTTGCAGTGAGCCGGGATCCCGCCACTGCACTCCAGCCTGGGCGACAGAGCGAGACTCCGTCTCAAAAAAAAAAAAAAAAAAAAAAAAAAACTGTCCTACATCATGTACATTACTGAGCGAAATGTAGAACCTGGATTTGAGCTCTGATTTCAGAGGTGTGGTCTCAGTCTCCCCAGGGAGACCTGTCCTGGGAGACAGTTATGCCAGGCTGTGATGCTGTGTTGATTGTTCTCTTCCTACCCAGAAGCTTTCAATAGGCATGTCAAGCATGTGACCCTAGCTACATATACCAAATGTATTTCTGACAAATGCCAGGACATCGTGAGCTTTCTTGTTTTACTGAGAGCTCCATAAAGGAATGACTATCTTTTTCTTTTTTTTTTTTTAAAGAGTCTCACTGTCACCCAGGCTGGAGTGCAATGGTGCTATCTCAGCTCACTGCAGTCTCTGCCTCCTGGGCTCAAGGGATTCTCCAGCCTCAGCCTCCTGAGTAGCTGGGATCAAAGGTGTACATCACCACACCCAGCTAACTTCATATTTTTGGTAGAGATGGGGTTTCGTCATGTTGGCCAGACAGATCTTGAACTCCTGGCCTCAAGTGATTCGCTTACCTCGGCATCCCAAAGTGCTGGGATTACAGGCATGAGCCACTGCACCTGGCCTGTCTTATTTATGTTATGTCTACGTGAAACAGGCCAGTGGTCAGCACAAAAGGGGGTCCAAATGTGAAAGGAAAGAGCAAACACAGGGGAAACATAGGGGTGTTCAGAAATAGTTCCCAGGTTACTGCCTGTTTCAATATGTACAGTCCTCGGCCCCACCCACAAGATTCTGACTTGGCAGGTCAGAGTTGGAGACGGGGGAGCTACCTGGTTACGAGGGATCCCAGTTCATTTTGAGGCAGCTGGTTGTTAGACTGCATTGTAAAAATTACCCCCCAAAGATGTGAAGGGATAATTTATGTATTTTTAATAGAGATAGGTTTTCACCATGTTGGCCAGGCAGGTCTCCAACTCCCAGCCTCAGGTGATCCGCCCGCCTTGGCCTCCCAAAGTGCTGGGATTACAGGCATGAGCCATTGCTCCTAGCAGTATTTTTTTCGTGAGGCAAAATTCACATAACACACAAGTCCCTGTATGAAACCATATACTTCAGTATCATTAAATACATTCACAATGTTAAGCAATCATCATCTCTGTCTAGTTCCAAAACATTTTCATTAACACCCCCCGCCCCCCCAAAAAATAACCCTGTATCCAATCAAGCACTCTCCATCCCCTCCCCTTTCCCCCAGTTCCTGGCAACCACTTACCTGCTTTCTGCCTCTACAGATTTGCCTATTCTGGACCTTTCACATAAATGGAATCATGTAATATATATAATAACCAAAAGGTAGCAACAACAAAGATGGTCATTTGGTTGATGAATGAATAAACAAAATGTGCTGTATCCATACAATGAAAGTATTGGTGCCTACTACATGTGGATGGACCTTGGAAACATCATGCTGAGTGAGAGAGAGCCTTGGTATTGTTTCATCTCCCCAGGAGATTCCAAGGTGCAGCCAAGGTTGAGACCCACTGACAAGCAATGGATATGGTTGGGTGCAGATGAAATAAGGCAGCCAGGGGCAGGAGGGATGTCTCATTGAAGATGACTGTTTGTGGATGCCTAGCAGGGGTGGGGATGAGGGATGATAACAGCAACCCCAATCTCAACACAGCGTGACCGATTTTATCTTCAGCCAGCTGATACGCCTCATGGGATTTGGACACATGACATCTCTGCCTCCCAGGTTCAAGCAATAACTCCTGCCTCAGCCTCCTAAGTAGCTGGGATTACAGGCATGTACCATCACACCTAGCTAATTTTTGTATTTTTAGTAGAAACAAGGCCTCATCATGTTGCCCAGGTTGGTCTCGAACTTCTGGCCTCAAATGATCCACCCACCTCAGCCTCCCAAAGTACTGGGATTACAGGCATGAACCACAGTGGCAGCCTCCAAATTCTATTTGAAGTTTGACTTTCCACCTCCAGAAAATCCAAACGTTTGCCCTAGTCACAGTGGGACACCCCGGAGTTAATTTGAGAGAAATGTGCTTTTAAAAACAACTCCAGGCCAGGCGCAGTGGCTCACGCCTATAATCTTAGCACTTTGGGAGGCCGAGGCGGACGGATCACGAGGTCAGGAGATCAAGACCATCCTGGCTAACACGGTGAAACCCCGTCTATACTAAAAATACAAAAAATTAGCCGGGCGTGGTGGCACATGCCTGTAAGCCCAGCTACTCGGGAGGCTGAGGCAGGAGAATCGCTTAAACCAGGGAGTCAGAGGTTGCAGTGAGCCGAGAGCGCGCCACTGCACTCCAGCCTGGTGACAGAGAGAGATTCCGTCTCAGAATAAATAAATAAAACCCTCCGATATGAACACCAAACTAGAATCACTCCATTGACTTCCCTCCACCAATCAGGGGGAGTGATGGTGATGGTGCATGAGTGTCTATTTGCATTGAGTCTTAATGGAAAATAAGGTTGTGTCACTCAAAGGAAAAACAAATCACAGCCCAGACTGGAGCTGTGGATGAATAACACGGCTGAGTGTTGGTACAGGCTTTCCACAGCAATATTAAAACTGAAAAAATCAGCAATGAAGCTCCCAGCCACATTTCTGCCTAATGATTTGGGGGAAAACAACAGAGGCACTCCTCAACTTTTCCTTCGCTGCACAAAGTGGGTTTGGCTGGAAATGCCAAATGTGCTTGTTGCTGGGATCTTTCAAATGAAAGCAAGCTGGGAGTCAACCTCCTGCAGCCACAGTCCAGAAATGGGTTGAGACCAAACTATTATACTCACACTGATGCACATCTAAACAGATTTAACTCCCTCACAGCAATCCAGATTAATTTAATATGCTTTCTTAATGGCATTCCGCATTTCTCATTAAAGCAAATGAACGTCCATCCCTCTGTGATAAATTAGGTCAAAAAACATTCATATATTTAGGGCACAGGGAAGGAGGAGTTGTTGGCTGTTAAAAAAAAAAAAAAGTCCTGCAAATGGACTTTCAAAGTCTAGACATCTTCATCATCAACACAAACACTCCTCTTCACAAAGGGACCTCAAGTAACCTTAGGCTGGAGGGCCCACCTGCTTATGTTTTTCTTCTCATTCTTTCCTACCTTCCCTCCAGCCCACACAACTCACATTCAGTGACCAAGTCACGTGGGTTTTACCTCCTAAATCTTTCTCATATCCTTCACTGCTCAGCCACTCTCCTGACACCACCATAAACCAAGCCACCATCACCTCCAGCTGTTTGACTGCAAATGCCTCCAGACTGGCCTCTGCTTTTCCCTGGCCCTGTGACAATCTGCATTCCTCACAGGGACCAAAGCAATCACTTCAGAAGGTGCATCCAAACAGATCACTCAACTTTCAATGGCTCCCTCTGCTGTGTGGGTTAACAATGATAAAAGCTCGGCCGGGCGCGGGGGCTCACGCCTGTAATCCCAGCACTTTGGGAGGCCGAGGCGGCCGGATCACGACTTTAGGAGATCCAGACCATTCTCCCTAACACGGTGAAACCCCGTCTCTACTAAAAATACAAAAAAATTAGCTGGGCGTGGTGGCGGGAGCCTGTAGTCCTAGGTACTCCGGAGGCTGAGGCAGGAGAATGGCGTGAACCCGGGAGGTGGAGCTTGCAGTGAGCCGAGATCGCGCCACTGCACTCCGGCCTGGACGACAGAATGAGATTCCATCTCGGAAAAAAAAAAAAAAAAAGATAAAAGGTCACATTTTCTGAGCACACACTATCTCAGTCCATCCCTACATCAGCCCTTTATTTCACCAGTGGGGAAGCTGGGACAGAGAGTAGTTACGTGGGATGCCCAAGGTGGGACCACTCGTGTGAAGTTTCCACACCCTAATGTGAGACCCTCCATGACCTAGCCCCTCTCTTTCTCCAGCCTCATTTCCTGATTCTCTCGCTTGCCCTGCAGGCTTCAGCCACAGAAACTTCTTGAAAGTCCCTTAAATCTGGCTGAGCACAGTGGCTCATGCCTGTAATCCCAGCACTTTGGGAAGCTGAGGCGGGTGGATCACCTGAGATCAGGAGTTCGAGACCAGCCTGGTCAACATGGTGGAACCCCATCTCTACTAAATATCCCAAAATTAGCCACGTGTGGTGGATGGCACCTGTAATCCTAGCTACTCGGGAGACTGAGGCAGGAAAATCGCTTGAACTCGGGAGGCAGAGGTTGCAGTGAGCCAGGACGGCACCACTCCACCCAAGCCTGGGCGTCAAGAGTGAAAGTCCGTCTCAAAAAAAACAGTCCCTTACATCTGCTCTATGCCTATCAACCTCAGGGACTTTACTATGGTGTTCCTCACCCTGAAATGCTGTTCCTCATTTCTCCACATAGTGAACTCATCCCACCCCCTACGCCTCTCCTTAAGTGTCATCTCTTCAAGGAAGATTTTACTTTTTTAATATAACTATTAAAATATAATTCAGGTACCGTATGATTTGCCAATTTAAAGTAAACAAATCAATGGTTTCAGTGCATTCACAGAGCTCGGCAACCACCATCATGATCAATTTTAAAACATTTTCATCACCCCAAAAGAAACCCTGTATCCATGAGCAGGTACCTGCCATTTCCTCCTCCCACTAAGCCCTGACAATCTACTTTTTTTGAGATAGAGTCTCTGTCACAGGCTGGAGTGCAGTGGCACAATCTCGGCTCACTGCAACCTCCGCCTCCCGGGTTAAAGCAATTCTCCTGCCTCCCGAGTAGCTGGGATTACAGGGATATGCCACCACGCCCATCTAATTTTGTATTTTTAGTAGAGACAGGGTTCCTGTCTTCATAGATTTGCCTGTTCTGGACATTTCATATAAATGAAATCTTATAATATGTGACCTTTGTGACTGGTTTCTTCTACTTAGCATAATATTCTCATAGTTCATCTGTGTTGTAGCACGTGTGAGTACTTCATTCCTTTTGATGACTGAATAATATTCCATTGCATGGTCAAACCATGTTCTATTTCTCCACTCATCAGTAGACAAGCATTTGTGTTGTTTTCACTTTGGCGCTATTATGAATAATGCTGCTATGAGCATTTGTATACAAGTTTCTGCACGGACATATATTTTCATTTCTTTCATAAACTGGAGTGGAAGTGGTGGGTCATAGAACTCTGTGTTTAAGCTTTTGAAGAAGTGCCAGACTGTGTAAGAAAGAAAGCCTTTCCTCACCCTGTGAGACTGAGCTCCCTCTCTCCATTTATACGTTCTCTTTATGCCCTTTGCTTCTCTTTCAGAGCAATTCACGTTGACCTGGGTCACCCTCAACTTAAGGCTCATAACTCCCCTAGATCCTCAGGGCCCACACTAAATGTGATGAAATATGATGGAAGCCACATATTTACTTTTGCATTTTGTAGTAACCACATTTTAAAAAGTAAAACAAAAGAAGTGAAGGTAATTGGAATAATATCACAGATTTAAACAAATCTATCCGAAATACCAGGTCTACAAGTATAAAATATTTTAACATTAACAAAATACTTTGCTTTCTTTTTACATTAAGTCTTCACAGTCTAATGTGTATTTGACACTTCTTGCACATCTCAGAATGATGGCAGCACCCCATATGGGGGGCCCTCCCGTGATGCCAATGATGGGCCCTCCTCCTCCTGGGATGATGCCAGTGGGACCTGCTCCTGGAATGAGGCCACCCATGGGAGGCCACATGCCCATGATGCCTGGGTGCCCAATGATGAGACCTCCTGCCCGTCTCATGATGGTGCCCAGTCAGCCCAAAATGACTTGACCAGACAGATAAGGATAGAGGGGAGGCCTCATTACATCAGTGTTGTTTTGTTGTTATTAATGTTGTGTTTTCTTTGTTTGTAATGTTTTGTTTTGTTTTTGAGACACAGTCTTCCTCTGTCGCCCAGGCTGGAGGGCAGTGGCACGATCTCAGCTCACTGAAACCTCCACCTCCTGGGTTCAAGCGATTCCCCTGCCTCAGCCTCCTGAGTAGCTGGGACTACAGGCGTGCGCACCATGCCCGACTAATTTTTTTTATTTTAGTAGAGACAGGGTTTCACCATGTTGGCGAGGATGGTCTCAATCTCCTGACCTCGTGACCCGCTCGCCTCAGCCTCCCAAAGTGCTGGGATTACAGGTGTGAGCCACTGCGCCTGGCCTATATGAGTTTTATATTTACCTGCTCCCTTCACCAGGAGATCATGCTGCTGTGATGCCGGGTTTTCTTAACAGCATAAGGAAGACTTGCCCGCTTGCCCTATCAAAGAGAATAGTTTTGGAGGGGAGAAGTGGGAACAAAAAAGATGCAGTTTTCATTTCTATTGGGAAATGTGAAAATAAAATTGTCAACTCTTTTAGTTAAAAACAACAACAAAGAAAAGGAAACGAGATGTGGGGCTGCCACACGCAATATCGTGCATTAAAGGGATCTTCTACTCTGGAGGAAAATATCTTTGCTGATGCCAGACCAACCTAACACAAAGACCTTTTGGTTTTTTAATGTGACTGTGTTTTATTTTACAATGTGTAATTCACTTTAGAAGGGCAAAGTACCTGTCTGGGGAAGACTATTTAATTTCCTGCATTTATTTAGAATATTGGCTAATGTTATTCTGAAGGGAAATATCTCTAACAAGTGAGTGCCCCCCACATAGACACAGCTCATGAGCTCACGGGGCAAAGGAATTGAACAGCAGCCTCCTAATAGCTAGCCTTCTTTGTGGTATGGAAATAATTATCAGCATGTAAAAGACTATATATATATTCAACAATTCTGACCCCCTGCAAAATTCAAATCTACAATTGATTTGTTTCCTGGGCCCCTGAAAACAACTTTGTCAAAATTGTTCAGAAATAAAATCAGCCAATCGTTGCCCCTTGGGGACGCAGGACAAAGCAAATCAGCCATGACCAATGTGGAGTCGGCCGTACACAATTACATGCAGACCTGCAGGACATCGAGTCCCTGCTATGGTCCCTCCGCAGTCAGGCCCCCATTGCCTGGGCTGCAGCCAGAAGCATTCAGGCACAAGTGCATTCAACAAATACTTATTTAATTGTATTGGTGGTTAGAGGGTTGCAGTTGATTAAGGTACATTAATGGATCCATGTCCTCCCTGTAACCAAGACTCTGCCATTTGTCTCTGCAGCTCCTCCCACTGAAGAATTGGAGTATATTTCTCCAGCCCCTAATGTTGGGTTTAGTCATGTGTCTAGCTTTGGCCACTGGAATATTAATCTGCATGACCAAAAACTTGGAATGTATGCATTCATTTGTGCTCACTCGCTCCTGCTATCACCATGAGAACAAGCCCAGGCCAGCCTGCTGCTTCCAGCAGAAGATAAGAGACACCAAGAGCAAAGCAGAGTTTCCCAGACATGCTCATGCTAGATTAACCAATCCTCAGCTGACCCATAGATCCATGAAAATAAATGACTGTTGTATTAAGCCTGGGTGACAGAGTGAGACTCCATTGCTTAAAAAAGAGAAAAAATATTTCCCAGATAAGCAAAAGACTGTTTGTTTGTGTCTTGTTTGTTGTGGTCCTACAAAAAATGCTTAAGGGAGTCCTACACTGGGAAGCAAAAGAACAATATCTACCATCATGAAAATACATGAAAGTATAAAACTCATGGTAGTGCAGACACACAAAGGAGAAAGGATTCAAACGTCACCATTAAAGAAAACCACCAAACTGCAACAATAAATAATGAGAGAAAAAAGGAACAAAGGTGTATTAGTCTGTTTTCACATTGCTGATAAAGACATACCTGACTGAGACTGGGCAATTTACAAAAGAAAGAGGTTTAATGGACTTACATTTCCACGTAGCTGAGGAAGCCTCACAATCATGTTGGAAGGCAAGAAAAAGCAAGTCATGTCTCACCTGGATGGCAGCAGGCAAAAGAGAGCTTCTGCAGGGAAACTACCCTTTTTAAAACCATCAGACATTGTGAGACGTATTCACTATCATGAGAACAGCATGGGAAAGACCTGTCCCCATGACTCAATTACTTCCCACCAGGTCCCTCCCACAACATGTGGGAATTCAAGATGAGATTTGGGTGGGAACACAACCAAAGCATATCATTCTGCCCCTGGCCCTTGCCAAATCTCATTTCAAAACAAATTTTGCCTTCCCAACAGTCCCCCAAAGTCTTAACTAAGTTCAGCATTAACTCAAAAGTCCACAGTCCAAAGTCTCATGTGAGACAAGGCAAATCCCTTCCACCTATGAGCACGTAAAATCAAAACCAAGTTAGTTACTTCCTAGATGCAATGGGGGTATAGGCATTGGGTAAACACAGTCATTCCAAATGGGAAAAAATTGCCAAAACAAAGGGGCTACAGGCCCCATGCAAGCCCAAAATCCAGTGGGGCAGTCAAATCTCAAAGCCCCAAAATGATCTCCTTTGACTCCATGTCTCACATGCAGGTCATGCTGATGTAAGAGGTGGGTTCCCATGGCCTTGGGAGAAAAAAGGCCACAGCTCCACTCCTGTGGCTTTGTGGGTATAAACCCCCTCCTGGCTCTTTCACGGGTTGGCATTGAGTGTCTGCAGCTTTTCCAGGCACACAGCGCAAGCTGTCAGTGAATCCAACATTCTGGGGTCTGGAGGATGGTGGCCCTCTTCTCACAGGTCCACTAGGTGGTGCTGCAGTAGGGACTCTATGTTGGGGCTTCGACCCCACATTTCCCTTCTGCACTGCCCTAGTAGAGGTTCTCCATGAGTGCCCTGCCCCTGCAGCAAACTTCTGCCTGGACAACTAGGCATTTCCATACACCTTCTGAAGTCTAGGCAGCAGTTCCGAAACCTCGATTTTTGACTTCTGTGCACCCACGGGCTCAACACTATGTGGAAGCTGCTAAGGTTTGGGGCTTGCACCCTCTGAAGCCACAGCCCACATTGTACCTTGGTTCCTTTTAGGTGCAGCTGGAGTGGCTAAGACTCAGGCACCCGAGGCTGCTCACAGCAGGGGGCCCTGGGTCCAGTCCACAAAACCATCTTTTCTTCCTAGGCCGCTGGGCCTTTGATGGGAGGGGCTGCCATGAAGCTCTGTGACATGCCCTGGAGACACTTTCCCCATTGTCTTGGAGATTCACATTTGACTCCTCGTTACTTAAACAAACTTCTGCAGCCAGATCGAATTTTTCTTGAGAAAATGGGATTTTCTTTTCTATTGCATTGTCAGGCTGCAAATCTTCCAAACTTTTGTGCTCTGCTTCCCTTATAAAACTGAGGGCCTTTAACAGCACCCAAGTCATCTCTTGAATGCTTTGCTGCTTAGAAATTTCTTCTACCAGATAACCTAAATCATCTCTCTCAAGTTCAAAATTCCACAAATCTCTACAGCAGGGGCAAAATGCCACCAGTCTCTTTGCTAAAACATAACAGGAGTCACTTTTGTGCCAGTTCCCGGCAAGTTCCTCATTTCCATCTGAGACCACCTCAGCCTAGACTTTATTGTCCATATAACCATCAGCATTTTGGGCAAGTCTCTAGGAAATCTCTTCCAAATTTCCCCACATTTTCCTGTCTCCTTCTGAGCCCTCCAACCTCTGCCTGTTTCCCAGTTCCAAAGTCACTTCCACATATTCAGGTATCTTTTAGCAACACCCCACTTCTGGTACCAATTTACTGTATTAGTCCGTTCTCACACAGCTGATAAAGACACATACAAGACTGGGAAATTTACAAAACAAAGAGGTTTAATGGACTTAAACTGTAGTTCTACGTTGCTGGGGAGGCTTCAAAATCATTGCGGAAGTCAAGGAGAGACAAGTCACATCTTACAGGGATGGCAGCAGGCAAAGAGAGAGCTTGAGCAGGGAAACTCCTCCTTTTAAAACCATCAGATCTCATGAGACTTACTCACTATCAAAAGAATAGCATGGAAAATACCTGCCCCCATGATTCAACTACTTCTCACTGGGTCCCTCCCACAACACATGGGAATTCAAGATGAGATCTGAGTGGGGACACAGCTAAATGAAATCAAAAGGATATACAAAATAACCAGCAAACAATGAACAAAATGACAGGAATAAGTCCTCACCTATCAACAATAACTTCGAATATGTGTTAAATTACCTACCTAAAAGATAGAGACAGGCTTAATGGATAAAAAATGACCCAACAACGTCTACAAGAAACTCACTTCACTTGTAAAGACACACACAGACTGAAAGTGAAGAGATTGAAAAAGATATGCCACACAAACAGAAATCAAAAGTAATCAGGAGTAGCTAAACTTGCATCAGATAAAACAGACTTTAAGTCAAAAACTGTAAAAAGGACAAAGAAGGTCATTATATGGTAATAAAGGGATCAATTCAGCAACAAAATATAACAATTCTAAATATGCATGCAACCAACACAAGTGCATCCAGACACACATAGCAAATATTATTAAATCTACAGAGAGAGATAGAGTCCAATACAATGATAGTTGAGAACTTCAATATCCTACTGTCAGCATTGGACAGTTCATCTAGACATAAAATCAACAAAGAAACATTAGATTTAAGCTGCACTTTAGACCAAATGGACCTAACAGATATTTTCAGAATATTTCATCCAGCAGCAGCAGAATACACAATCATCTCATCAACACATGGAACATTCTCCAGGATAGACCATATGTTAGGACACAAAACAAGGCTCAACAAAATTTTAAACATTAAAATCATATCAAGTATCTTCTCAGACCACAATGGAATAAAACTTGAAATCAATAACAAAAAATTTGGAAACTGTACAAATACATGGACATTAAATGTGCTATTGAATGATCATTGAGTCAATGAAGAAATTAAGATGAAAATCAAAAAATTTTTTTAAACAGAAAATGGAAACACATCATGCAAAACCTATGGGATACAGCAAAAGCAATACTAGGAGGAAGGTTTATAGCAATAAATGCCTACACCAAAAAAGTAGAAAGATCTCAAATAAACAACCTAATGTTGCACCTCAAGGAACTCAAAAAGCAAGAACAAACCAAACACACAATTAGTAGAAAGAAAAAAAAATAACAGCAGAACCAAATGCAACAGAGACAAAAAAGAAATGCAAAGAATCAACAAGATAAAAGTTGTTTTTTTGAAAAGTTAAACAAAACTGATAAACCACTAGTGAGGCTAACCAAAAAAAAAAAAAAAAGAGAAAGAAAGGAGACCCAAATAAATACAATCAGAAATGAAAAAGGAGATATTACAACTGTTACCAAAGAAATAAAAAGGATGATTAGAGGCTATTATGAACAAGCATATCCTAACAAATTGGAAAACTTAGAGGAAAGGGATAAATTCCCAGACATACACAGCCTACCAAGATTGAACTAGGAAGAAACAGAAAACCTGAACTGACTCAAAATGAATAGCAGGTTTGAATCAGTAACAAAAAGTCTCCCCAAAGAGAAAAGCCCTAGAGTAGGCTTTTATGCTGATTTCTACCCAGTTTATAAAGAAAAACAAACACCAATTCTTCTCAAACTATTCCCAAAAATTGAAGAGGAGGGAATTCTTCCTAACTCATTGTATAAGGCCAGCATTACCCTGATATCCAATCAAGACAAGGACACAACAGAAAGAGAAAACTACAGGCCAATATTCCTAATGAACACAGATGGACAAATTCTCAGCATAATACTACCAAGCCAAATCTAATGATGAATGAAAAAGATAATATACCATGATCAAGTGGGATTTATCCCAGGAATGCAAAGATGGCTCAACGTACACAAAATCAATGCATGTGATACATCACATCAACAAGATGAAAGGCAAAAACTATCTGATCATCTCAGCAGATGCAGAAAAATCACTCGGTAAAACTTACCATTGCTTCATGATGAAAACTCTCAACAAATTAGGCATAGAAGGAACACTTCAACATAAGAAAAGGCATATATGACTAATCTACAGCTAACATCCTACTCACTGGGAAAAATTGAAAAGCTTTTCCTCTAAGAACTGGAACAAGACAAGGATGCCCACTTTCACCACTCTTATTCAACACAGTATGGGACATCCAAGCCAGAGTGATCAGACAAAATAAAGAAATAAAAGGCATCCAAACTAGACAAGAGGGAGTCAAATTGTCTCACTTTGCAGATGACATAATCTTATACTTGTAAACAGAAAAACCTAAAGACTCCACCAAAAAACTCTTAAAATGGATAAATTAGGCTGGGCATGGTAGCTCATGCCTGTTATCCCAGCACTTTGGGAGGCCAAGGTGGGCGGATCACCTGAGGTTGGGAGTTTGAGACCAGCCTGGCCAACATGGTGAAATCCTGTCTCTATTAAAAATACAATTAACCAGCCATGGTGGTAGGTGCCTGTAATCACAGCTACTTGGGAGGCTGAAGCAGGAGAATCACTTGAAACCCAGAGGCGGAGGTTGCAGTGAGCCAAGACTGCATCACTGCACTCCAGCCTGGGCAAGAGAGCGAGACTCTATCTCAAAAAATAAAAAATAAAAAAAATTTAAAAAAACAGATGTATAATTCAGTAAAGCTTTAGGACACAAAATCAACATACAAAAATCAGTAATGTTTCTATATACCAGTAACAAACTAGCTAAAAAAGAAACCAAGGAAGAAATTCTATTTACAATAGCTACAAAAATAAAATACCTAGGAATAAACTTAACCAAGGATGGGGAAAAAAAAAAAAAAAAACCTCTACAATGAAAACCACAAAACACTGATAAAATAAATTGAGAAGACACAAACAAATGGAAAAGCATCTCATGCTCGTGGCTTGGAATTACTAATACTGTTAAAATGACACTACCCGAAGCAATCTAGAGATTCAGTATAATCCCTATCAATTATATTCTTCACAGAAACAGGAAAAAAAAAAACCCTGAAATTCATATGGAACCACAGAAGACCCCAAATAGCCAAAGCAATACTGAGCAAAAAGAACAAAGCTAGAAGCCTCACACTACCTGATTTAAAAGTATACTGCAAAGCAGCTGGGCGTGGTGGCTCATGCCTGTAATCCCAGCACTTGGGGAGGCCAGCGCGGGTGGATCATGAGGTCGGGAGATCGAGACCATCCTGGCTAACACGGTGAAACCCCATCTCTATTAAAAAAAAACAAAAAAATTAGCCAAGGCTGAGGCAGGAGAATGGCGTGAACCCGGGAGGCGGAGCTTGCAATGAGCCGAGATTGCATCACTGCACTCCAGCCTGAGTGACAAGGCAAGACTCTGTCTCAAAAAAAAAAAAAAAAAAAAAAAAAAAAAAAAAAATATATATATATATATATATATATATATATATATATATATATGTATATACACACACATACTGCAAAGCTATAGTAACCAAAACAGAGTGTATTGGTATTAAAACAGACACAATAACAAAGGAAACAGACTAAAGAACCCAGAAATGAATCCACATATTTACAGCTGATTTTCAAGAAAGGTGTCAAGAACATACATTGAATAAAAGACACCCTCTTCATTAAATGGTGCCAGGGAAACTAGATATCCAAACACAGAAGAATAAAACTAGACCCTTATCTCTCATCACTTACAAAAATAAACTCAAAATCGATTAAAGACTTAAATGTAACAGCCACAACTATAAAACTACTAGAAGTAAACACAGGAGAAACGCTTGAGAACAAAGATTGTATGGCTAACACTTAAAAAGTACAAGCAACAAAAACAGACAAATGGGATTATATTAAATTAAATACCTTCTGCATATCAAAGAAAACAATCAACAGAGTGAAAAGACAACAACCCTCCCTTACACCATATACAAAAATTAACTCAAGATGGCCTACAGACTTAAATGTAAAACCCATAACTATAAAAACCCTGGAAGACAACCTAGGCAATACCATCCGGTACATAGTGATGGGCTAAGAGTTCATGGTGAAGATGCCAAACGCAATTGCCACAAAAGCAAAAATTGACAAATGGGATCTAATTAAATGAAAGAGCTTCTGCACAGCAAAAGAAACTATCAAAAAATAAACAGACATTTCTCAAAAGAGGATATACAAATCACCAAGTTTATGAAAAAATATTCAACATCACTAATAATCACGGAAATGCAAATCAAAACCACAGTGAGATATCATCTCATACTTGTTAGAATGGCTATTATTAAAAAGACAAAGCACAACAAATGCTGGCAAGCATGTGAAGAGAAGAAAATTATCATATATTGTTGGGAATGTAAATTAGTACAGCCATTATGAAAAAAAGTACAGAGATTTCTCAAACAACTAAGAACAGATCTACCATATGATCCAGCAATCCCACTCCTGGGTATATATCCAAAAAAAAGGATATCAGTGTATCAACGGGATATCTGTACCCCCATATTTACTGCAGCACTATTTACAATAGCCAAGATATGGACTCAATCTAAGTGTCAATCAATGGATGAATGGATAAAGAAAATGGGAATAGACGCACAATAGAATAGTATTCAGCCATAAAGAAGAATGAAATCCTGTCATTTTCAGCTAAATGGATGGAATTAAAGGTCATAAAGTTAGGTGAACTAGGCCATGCACAGAAAGAAAACTATTGCATGTTCTCACTTATATGAGCGGTTTATGCTCCTGGAAATCAAAGTGGGGGCCATGTTTCAGGTCAGTAGGGTCAGGGATAGAGACCGCAGTTATGGACTTGTGTGCCCTGGAGCTATATAAAATTGATATCATGGAGATAAAGAGTAGAATGATAGTTACCAGAGGCTGGGAATAGAAGGGGTTTGAAAAGAAGTTGATTAATGGGTATAAAAATATATAATAGAAGGTATAAGATCTAGTGTTCATTATCACAGAAAGTGACTACAACAATTTGTTGTATATATATATTTTTAATTTCAATAGTTTTTAGGGAACAGGTGGTATTTTGTTACATGGATAAGTTCCTTAGTGGTGATCTCTGAAATTTTGGCGTACCCATCACCAAAGTAGTTTACCCAATGTATAGTCTTTTATCTCTCAACTCCTCCCACCTTCCCCCTGAGCCCCCAAAGTCCACTGTTTCATTCTTGTGCCTTTGCATCATCATAGCTTAGCTCCCACTTACGAGTGAGAACATGCAATGTTTGGTTTTCTATTCCTGAGTTACTTCATTTAGAATAATGGTCTCCAACTCCATCCAGGTTGCTATGAATGCCATTATTTCATTCCTTTTTAAGGCTAAGTAGTATTCTATGGTATATATATATATATATATATATATATATATATATGTGTGTGTGTGTGTGTGTGTGTGTGTGTGTGTGTGTGTGTGTGTGTGTGTGTATATATATATATAAACACATTTTCTTTATCCACTAATTGATTGATGGGCATTTGGGCTGGTTCTATAGTTTTGCAACTGTGAATTTTGCTGCTGTAAACATGTGTGCAAAAGTATCTTTTTCATATAATGACTTCTTTTCCTCTGGGTAGATACCTAGCAGTGGGATTGCTGGATCAAATGGTAGATCTACTTTTAGTTCTTTAAGGAATCTCCATGCTGCTTTCCATAGTGGTGGTACTAGCTTACATTCCCACCATCAGTGTAAAAGCGTTCTCTTTCACCACGTCCGTGCCAACATCAATTTTTGCTTTTTTTTTTTTTTTTTTTTTTTTTTTGAGATGGAGTCTCGCTCTGTTACCCAGGCTGGAGTACAGTGGCGCGATATCAGCTCACTGCAACCTCTGCCTCCCGGGTTCAAGCAATTCTCCTGCCTCAGTCTCCTGAGTAGCTGGGATTACAGGCAACCACCACCATGCCTGGCTAATTTTTGTATTTTCAGTAGAGACTCGGTTTCACCATGTTGGTCAGGCTGGTCTCAAACTCCTGACCTCCTGATCCGCCCACCTCGGCCTCCCAAAGTGCTGGGACTACAGGCATGAGCCACCGCACCCAGCTCTATTTTTGTTTATTTTACACGTGGTATTGCATTGTGATTTTGATTTGCATTTCCCTGGTAATTTGTGATGTTGAGCATTTTTTCATATGTTTGTTGGCCATTTGTATATCTTCTTTTGAAAATTGTCTATTAATGTCCTTGGCACACTTTTTGATGGGATTATTTTTTTCTTGCTGATTAGAGTTCCCTGTAGATTCTGGACATTAGTCCTTTGTCAGATGCAGTTTGTGAAAATTTTCTCCCACTCTGTGGGTGATCTGTTTACTCTGCTGATTATTTCCTATGCTGTGCAGGAGGCTTTTACTTTAATTAAGTCCCATCTATTTATCTTTGTTTCTATTGCATTTGCTTTTGGGTTCTTGATCATGAACTGTTTGCCTAAGCCAATGTGTAGAAGCGTTTTCCAATGTTATCTTCTAGAATGTTTATGGTTTCAGACCTTAGATTTAAGTCTTTGATCCATCTTATGTTGATTTCTGTATAAGGTGAGAGATGAGGATCCAGTTTTATTATTTTACATGTGGCTTGCCAATTATCCCAGCACTATTTGTTGTATAGGGTGTACTTTCCCTACTTTGTTTTTGTTTACTTTGTCGAAGATCAGTTGGGTGTTAAGTATTTGGCTTTATTTCTAGCTTCTCTACTCTGTCCCGTTGGTCATGTGCCTATTTTTATACCAGCACCATGCTGTTTTGGTGACTATAGCCTTGTAATATAGTTTGAAGTTGGGTAATGTGATGCCTCTAGATCGGTTCTTTTTGCTTAGTTTTGCTTTGGCTGTGCAGACTCTTTTTTAGTTCCAATTGAATTTTGGCATTATTTTTTTCCAGTTCTATAAAGAATGATGATGGTATATTGATAGGAATTGCATTGAATTTGTAGACTGCTTTTGGCAGTATGGTGATTTTCACAATATTGAGTCTACCCATCCATGAGCATGGAATGTGTTTCCATTTTTTTGTTTCATCTATGATTTCTTTCAACAGTGTTTTGTAGTTTTCCTTGTAGGGGTCTTTCATCTCCTTGGTTAGGTATATTCCTAAGTATTTTATTTTTACAGCTATCATAAAAGGGTTTGATTTGATTCTCAGCCTGGTAGGTGTTGGTGTATAGCACTGCTATTGATTTGTGTACATAGATTTTGTATCCTGATAAATGGATTTATTGTATATTTCTAAATAGCAATAAGATTTGAAATATTCCCAACACAAAGAAATGATCAATGTTTGAGGTGATTAATATCCTAAAGACCCTGATTTGATCATTACACATTGCATGCATGTACCAGAATCTCACATGGACCCCACAAATGTGTACAATTATTCTCTATCAAAAACATTTTTTTAAGAAACATGGAGGAATACACTGTACCTCTTCCTTGTTGTCTCTGGATATTGTCACATGAGGACTTGACATGCGGATTGTGGCAGCCTCTGTGACCAAGAGCAGAAGACAATAGCAGCATAGAAACCTCAAATGAAAAACCTAACATCTCAAGCTACTAATTTAGCCAACCTTGGCATCAGCTATCTCCGGTCTTAGTACATGAGGTGATAAGCCCCCACTGTTCAAGTTCGGTGGCCATCAATTGCTGCAGAATAGAAGTTAATGAGGCTTCCTCCTCCTGGATCCTCTACTAGACCCTGACATACCCATTCAGTCACAGGCAGAAAGGGAAGCAGAGGGTAAGGAGACCTGGCTGGCTGTGCCAGATGCAGATCTTACCTGTCCTGCTTAGAACACTCAAAGCTCAATTGGTTAAACAAAAAAAGGAAAAACACAGTAAGGAGTATAACACTCCCCAGATGCAACTTAATCTAACACTCTATACTTTAAATTTTCTAAACATACAGAGAAATCAGACCACTACTTCTGCAGAACATTTTCCTGGTAAAAAGAACAGCCCACATGAGGGAAAACTGATTTGGTGGAAGACAACAAAAACAAAACATGGGAAATAGGTAAGGTGATAACATGGGGGAGAGGTTTTGCTTGTGTTTCACCAGGAGAAAATCAGCTTCCTGTTTGGATACCCACTAGACATTTGAAGTTCTACAATCAACCCATCAGAGATGCAAATGAAAGTGCCTCCGCAGAGACAGAAAACCCGCAATCAAGCATCATCGACTCGCAGGGTGAACAAAATGGTGATATCAGAAGAACAGATGAAGTTACCATCCACCAAGAAAACGGCACATGTGGAGAGCCAGGGAGAAGAATAGAAAGAAAAAGAGACAGAGATCAGAGACAGACACAGAAAGTGAGATTGGGGAGAGAGATAGTGTAAAAGAGAGAGAGAGAGAGAGACCATAAGAGAAGGGAGACAAAGAGATAAAAGGTGCGAGTCATCAGGTGAGGAGAAAGACTGAAAACGATGAGAAACAGCAACTAAGACACAAAGGAGGTGGGAGACTGCCTGGGTGCCGCAGCACCCACACCGTCCTCTTGCCCCCGTCACTTGGGTTAAAACCACCGGAAATTCCACTATTGCAAATTTTGTATTAATCCTTGTATGTCTGTCTTTTCTGTTGTTAGTCTACAGGTGTATCCAGCAGCTCCAGAGAGACAGCGACCGACCAGAGAGAAGGGGCCATGATGATGGTGGTGGTTTTGTCAAAACGAAAAGGGGGATATGTAGGGAAAAGAAAGAGAGATCAGACTGTTACTGTGTCTACATAGAAAGGGAAGACATAAGAGACTCCATTTTGAAAAAGACCTGTACTTTAAACAATTGCTTTGACAGAGACAGTTGCTTGAGTGCATTCATGTGTCTTCTTCTTCCACAGGGAGAACGAGGCCCCTGAGGTCTTCCTGGACTCCGAGGTGAGGAAGGATGCCCTGGTATGAGGGGACCTAAGGTGAGTGTGACCTTAAGCTGTGGGATTCTTTCTCTTTCTTGGCTTCATCTCTTGAGTTTGAGGAAAATCATAACTCTTCAACATAGCTATGGAGTCTTAGCTCCCCCTCAGATTAAAGGTTTTCCAGAAGTAAAGCCTGAGAAAAAGAGTCAATTGCAAGTATTTTACTGGGAGATAATTCTAGTAAGCATTAGTGGGGAAGTAAAGAAGTGAGATAAGGAGGAAAGGAGGCCTGAAAAGGGTACATTATAAATCAGATCACCACTGTGGGTAGATGGAGCTTAATCATACTGAAGAACTCTGGCACCCAGAGTTGAACATGCATCTCAATGTACCCCAGTTAAGGGATGAGGGAGCTGTGGTATTTATACACCAAATCCCATCAAGAATTAGTTAACAGCAGCTTCCAGGAGGTATTAGTTCCTAGCACTTTGGGTCTGTCTTGCATGTGGGTAGAGCAGGCCCTGGTCCCTGAAAAAACCCTCAGAAAAGAGTGACAGGTGCTGGTGGTTGGAAGTAGGATTGAGAACACTAAAGTTTTTTTTGTTTTTGTTTTTATTTTAATTTTAAGTTCTGGGGTACATGTGCAGGATGTGCAGGTTTGTTACATAGGTAGACGTGTGCCGTGGTGATTTGCTGCACCTGTCAACCCATCACCTAGCTATTAAGGCCTGCATGCATTAGCTATTTTTCCTGATGCTCTCCTTCCCCCAACTCCATCCGCCGACAGAGGCCCCAGTGTGTGTTGTTCCCCTCCCTGTGTCTATGTGAGAACACTAAAGTTTTAAAGGCTAAAGGGATACAGGTACATTTTTGGCTGGTTGCATTAAATGTCCCTCAACTGTCCAGGATTGGAGAATCTTCCTTAATAAACTAAAAGAAAAAAATTCTACAATCTAAGAATCCTAAAGACAGTTTTCCTAACCACAATGACCATGTTCTGTATACCTATCAAATTACTCTTTCAATTCATTTTTCCTGTTGTTCCTTGAACTCCTATCATGCTTGCTAGCCGATATATTCTCACTTTTGTTTGAAAAAATATCATCATTTTAATAAGAGGTAGGCCACTGTTGTTCCCTTTCATTCCTACTATGTGAGGAACTGCAAAGTGCAATTTTCTCCAGGTTCCATGCAAAGGAGGGTAGCAATAACCAGGGTGTTGTAATGCCCACCACATTTGCCAGACAAGGCATCTTCATTTTGATCTAATATTGTAATTGCATTTTCTTCAAACCAGGGAACATATGGTTTCCTAAATGAAACAAGGGCTTAAAAATCTCATTCAAGCTCAATTCTTATGATCTCTTTCTAACTTTAGGGAGCAAGAGGATTTTCAGGAGAGAAGGTAGGTAATCTCCTTTATCCTTCTTAAACTGGATAGCAGTTTCTTTGGGAAATGCAATACTTATTTCAATCGCATTTCTTTGCCTGAGTGAGGTGAGGCTTCAGACTTTTAGACAAGAGAATTTGTCAGATGATATTAATAGCCAAACTTCCATGCTAATGAGTGACTATTTTTAAGACATGTATTTCAGGTTTAAGGCAGTGACATATTGTTTGCAATCCTCGCTGACTCTGTATAAGAATTGGGCCACCATATTCATCACATGATGGTCTAGAAGTGTTGGTCCTGAATCCAGGGTATGGTGGGCTGGGTCTGGTCAAGGTGGGTGTCAAATGGAAGAGGAATGCTGGGATGAGGTTGTTAGGAAAGGAGTTGGCACAAGAAGGGAATGATTTACATTCAGATTCAGAACCATAGCATCCATTTGCTGATTCACTCACTCAAAAAGTATTTATTAGGTACCCACTCTGTTCCCCACATTATCCTAGGGAGTGGTTACAAAATGATGAACAAGACACACAAGGGCTCATGGAGCTTCCTTATTCATGTTTTCTGGTACCATCGATTAACCTTCTGCGGCCTGTGGCAAATATGCCATGTAATTCTAGTCCAAGAGTTCGGTATACTTATTTTTATGTATAACTCAGCTGTGCTTTGGTTAAAAAAAAGCCTGAAACTTGATTTGCTTTTGTAGACAGCAGGCGTAAATCAACTATTTCACACATGCAAATGCATTTTATTTTGCTTGTGAAACTCTGGCTTTTTCTTTAAAAAATTCTTTATAATGAATATATTATTGGTCATTTTGGGTTAGTTGGCAAAATGAAGGGCCCATAATTTGAAAGTGATGGAATATTTGATGAGATGTCACCATGCCACTGCCCAGTTTTACTCTTATCTCCTAATTAGCCTCAGTTTTTCACTTCCTTTCTTTTTTAAAATTTTATCTCCCAAAATGCACACACATGCACACACACTCATTCAGTTCCTCCTTAATCTGTGAACTACCAGGTTTCCATTAGATTGATTAATTTGGGCATATTTGCCATCTTTTTAAAGAAGGTCAATGACAAAAAGACCATTTTTGGCATTCGACAACCAGTGTTTCATTTGGTCTTGTGAAACAGCTACTTGTTCCAAGTGCAAAAGTTTAAAGGGAGTCTCTTATCCACTCAAATTTTGAGGTTAAAAAATACATACACATTTTTAGCACCTGAAGCTATGAGGTAAAACAGTATATAACCCTAATAACTGTTTCAGGAAGAAAATAATCATTACTTTTTAGTAACTGGGTGCAGTATATAAGTGTTACAGAGTCTAGATTCTGTATCAATTGAAAAAATATTAGCAAGGAAATTAACATCAAAGAAATATTCACATAAACCTGTTTCTCTTGTCTCTAAGATTCTGATCTTCCTTTGCTTCACAGGGCAACCCTGGTGAGGGAGTTGATGGCTTGCATGGAGAACAGGTGCAGAAGTTTCTCATTTAATGTCTTCCTCTCTATTAACCTGGCATTTATACTCTTGTAGAGAGTACAGCTTTTCATGACTAGCTAGAATTTTTAACATGCATACTCAACAATGTTTAATGTTAATCTCTGTATTTTTCCTCATCCTCAAAATACAAGGACTCTAGAAACTTTAATCAACTCCCTCCCATATTACATATTATTGTCTAGTATTTTATTTCCATCTTGTTTTTGTTAAATTCTGCCGATTACACATTCTTATTGTTGTTTTATATAGTCAATGCTTATCTAGCTTTACCCTCATGTTTACTCATCTGACTGATGCCTTCCTTGTAGTCATCGATACCTTCAAAAGAACATGAAAAAATCATGTTTCTTTTGCTTAAGGCACAACTTTTAGAATTTCCTTTAATGAAGGTCAGTTCATTGTAAACTCTTCTTGTTTTTGTTTTCCTGAAAATCTCTTTGAAAGATAGTTCACTGGGTAAGCAATTCTGGTTGATGGTTACTTTCTCTCAGCACTGTGAAAATGTAATTTCAACCATGGCATGTGTATACCTATGTAACAAAACTGCACATTCTGCACATGTACCCCAGAACTTAAAGTATAATAAAAAAGAAAAAAAGAAAAGACTTGGAAAAAATACGTAAGTGCTCCAACTCAGAGTATTAGAAAAAAGGAAAATGTAATTTCATAGTCTTCTGGCTTCTATTTTCTTCTACCTTTCATTAGTGCCATTAAGAAGTTATCTGTTGGCCGGGTGCGGTGGCTCACGCCTGTAATCCCAGCACTTTGGGAGGCTGGGGCGGGCGGATCACGAGGTTAGGAGATCCAGACCATCCTGGCTAATATGGTGAAACCCCGTCTCTACTAAAAATACAAAAAAATTAGCCAGGCGTGGTGGTGGGCACCTGTAGTCCCAACTACTTGGGAGGCTGAGGCAGGAGAATGGCGTGAACCCGGGAGGCAGAGCTTGCAGTGAGCCGAGATTGCGCCACTGCACTCTAGGCTGGGTGACAGAGCGAGACTCCGTCTCAAGAAAAAAAAAAGAAAAAAAGAAGTTATCTGTCAAAATAATTGTTCTTTTGTAAGCAACTTTAAAAAATGTATAAGGCTGCTTTAAAATGTTCCCTTTGATTTTAGTTTTTGACAGTTTCAATATGATGTGTCCAGGTGTGGATTACTTTTTATGTATTCTGCTTAGGACTTGTCAGTCTTTTGAATCTGACTGTTTATGTTTCTTATAAATTTTGGAAATCTTCAGTGCTTAATTTTGAAATTATCATTTTGAAATTTTATTTTTCCTATTTTCTGTATTATTTCTTTGCAGAAATCTAATTAGAAATTTGTGAAAACTTCTCATTTTGTCCCCAATATGTCTTAACTGCTCTTTTGTATTTCTATTTCTTTGTCATTCTGTGCTGCATTCTGTATAATTTCTTCAGTTTCTAGTTCACTAATTCTCACCTCACTTGCATTTAATATAATATCTAATTTGTCAATTGAATTTTTAATTTTAATTATATTTTTCACTTCAAGTAGTTCTATTTGATCCTTTCTGAAATCTACTTGGTCTCCTTTCATAGTTTGTTATTTTATTCATTCTCTTCTAATTATTTAAACATACTAAATATACTCATTTTATATTCAGTATATTATAATCCCAATATTTGCAGTCACTGCAGGTCCGATTTTGTTGTGTGTTGTTTCTGCTGGCTTCTCCTTCATGGCATCTCCCTCATGTGTGTTGTGACTTTTGATTTAAACTCATTTTTTGATGGAATGTTATCTGTGAGACATCATTAGGGCCTGAGTTGAGGTTGTTTGCTTCTGTCATGTGTTCCTAGTGGCACTACGTTCTGGGACCACCCTAAAATAAATTGTAAGTTTGAGGCCCTTCACACCACACACACACACACACACGGCACACACCACACACACACACAATTACAAGAAGCCCTCAGGACAGCCATGAGCTATTACTTGTCTGCAATTTTGCTTTCTCTTTATTATGAACCATAAGGATTTTTTAAATCAGATTTTTTTTTTTGAGATGGAGTTTTGCTCTTGTTGCCCAGGCTGGAGTGCAATGGCGTGATCTTGGCTCACTGTAACCTCCACCTTCCGGGTTCAAGTGATTCTCCTGCCTCAGCCTCTTGAGTAGCTGGGACTACAGGCATGTGCCACCATGCCCGACTAATTTTGTATTTTTAGTAGAGACAGGGTTGCTTCATGTTGGTCAGGCTGGTCTCGAACTCCCAGCCTCAGGTGATCCACCTGCCTTGGCCTCCCAAAGTGCTGGGATTACAGGCCTGAGCCACCGCACCCAGCCTTAAATCAGATTTTTAATGCATACAAAATATATTTTAATTTATCTGGAATTTTAAATTTTCAGTGGCAGGGTTATTCAAAACATCTAATCTGTCACATTGTCAGAAATAGAGTAGTAAAGGTACTTTCTACTCTTGGCTAGAATTGTGAAAATACATAAAGAAAAATTTTGGTGGGACTAATAAAAGGCAGGCTCTCTGTATGTTCATTTTTCTTTTTTTAGGGTAATCACGGAATCCCAGGGTCATCTGGAGAAAAAGGAAATAGGGGAAATCGGGTAAAGTATGATGATATTCTTTCATTTTCCTGTTGAGTAACCTGATATGGATAGTTTATTTTTAAACTGTGGGAAACTGTGGGAAAAAAAAATCATCTAGTGGCTTAAACCCTATGGAGTTAAATGGAGAGTTAAAGGGCAATTAATATGAGATAGCTGTTTGGAAGCTTCACCTAAGATCTGACTCTGCTGATGGTAGAATGAGTAAAGTAAGTCCTGTGACTTAACATTTTGTGATTGAGAACAGTGATCATGTCACTCCCCATCTCACAAGCTTCTCATGGCTCCCTGTCACCGATGATTTAGTGTTACATCCAAGGCCTTTCAACCACATTCTTTACAAATCTCTGTCAAGAAATGTCTTCCTAGGCTCACTGTCTCTGAAATGTTGCTTATGCATGCCCACCTCTGTGTCTTTGCTCATGCCAGCTGCCTCTCCTGGAATGCCTTTTTCTTGGTTCCATATTCAGTGCTTAATCTGAATATCACCTTTTCCTCAATGGGCCCAGTTCCTCTCTTTCTTCCTCACAACAGCTTCCTTGGCATGTCAGTTTGTAGTGATCTTTGCCTTCTCTACATCCTTGCAATTATTTGTACTATCTGTTTGACAGTGATTACACACTTCCTCCTGATGGTAATTCTGTTTCCATGTAAGGGATGGCAGATACCTAGCATATGTCCCACAACCCTCCCTTCCTGTGCCCATGGCAGACATACTAACCATTTATGGGATCCAACATGGCTGAAGGATCCATCTTAACACAGTACTATAATCAGCTTCTATTGATTGATAGGATTAGACATAAAGGGTGTAATTTATTTGCTTATGCTTCTTTGTACTCCTCATGAAATTGGAGTAATGCTTTTACTCCAAAGGTGCACAATTAGTGTTGTGGATTGAATTCCTGATAGGTGAAACAGGGAGAGTCAGAAGACATGGCTCTTTATTGAGGTTTAATTTCTAACTTGAAGTTTATGGATCAGACTTTGGAGAAGGTGGGAGATACCATACTTTCTTAACACTGGAGAGCCTTCAGTTTCAGCTAAATTTAGTTAAATTCAATAAACACCTGTCAAGTGTTTATTGTCCCTACATGTGGGACATTTGCTAGATACAAAAAAGGGTTCCAAGATACATAAGCCATGGCTCTGACCAACAAAGAGCTTATTGAGTGTGCAGGAGATACAACTGGTACAGGAAAAACTATAATATGAGATAGGATAAGCTACAGGATGTAACAATGCTGCAAATAAAGAATGAATGGGAGCACAGTGACTTGGAGAGGAAACGAAAATAGATTCCCTTTTCTTCACTTGATCAATCATCAAAATTTATTGAGCATCTATTGTAATCAAGGCATGATTCTAGAATGGGGAACAAAAGAGACATGGGCTCTATCTCTTAGGATTGGCCTCTATGGAAAAAGATAGACATGAATGAAATAATCACAGAAATAGATATAATATTACTGCAGAGATAAAGGTATGGAAAGGAATACGACAGGGGATTTGACCCAGCCTGTGTAGTCAGAAAGGCTTCATTGAGGAGGAGATGGGATGAAATTTAAAAGATAGGTAACAGTTAAGGAAGAGAGAGGGGGGCAAGAGAACAACTTCTATATGAGCAGGTGCTGAAGGGTGGAGAGGACTCCGGCTTTCCAGAAAATGCAGGAAATCAAGACATTTTTCACTCAGACCTCTGTGAGAGGGACTGGGAGAGAGACACAGGGTATTCTAGTTTAAGAAAAGGGCTCAAGGAAAAGGTTAGAGTTAGAAGAAATCAGGGTAGGTCTGGAAAAATAAGGATCCTAATTTCATAGGAGTGGAGGATAAAATAAAAAGTATAAAGAGTGGGGAGAAAGCCTGAAAGGGCAATTTGGAGCCAGTTTAATGCTACTTTTGGGAGTTTTGTTTCTACTGAGTTATCAAGGGCTATTGAAGGTTTATAGGCAAGGAAGACACATGTTGGAAGCTGTAGGTTTGGAAGATTACTCTGAAAGTCCAGTGACTGGGTCAGATAAAGGAGGGTCTAGAAGTAGGGTGAATCATAATAGGAACCATATGCCTAAACAGTTGAATTTATTCTTCTATTTAATCCCTACACTGTTTCTATAAGTTAGGCACATCTGTTTCACAAATGAGAAAATGGAGTCTGAGAAAAGTCAAAGAAATTTACCAATGTAGGAAATTAAATAGCAGGATTGGAATCTACAGTTATCTAGCTCCCTTTTACCATTATATTAGGCCAGGAAAGAGATAAGGAGGCATCTCAAGTAAGATTATGAAGTGGCTTCTTTTGGAGTCTAGAGAACATTTTATTTCCTTTGTGTCTGAAAGCTAGAACAGTGATCCCATCTGTTAATCATGCACACCCTCCGGCTCCAGGCATGTGATGTCGTCTGA